>NW_003571059.2:815619-1002683 GCF_000001405.40 Homo sapiens | reverse complement strand
AAGCTTCAATCTTATCCTTTTAACCCTCAAACCTTTTAACCCAGTCCGACACCCAGCAGCGACTTAGACAATTGCATTAGAGCCTCTGGAAAACCAAGAGTTTAATCGTCCAGCCTTTACCCCTCTCGGGGGCCCAGAGATACTACCACTTCCTAACTTTCCCAGAAACTTGCCCCCAAGCCCTTGAAGTCCCAAGCCTGCTCCTCTGGGTCTCCAGGATCCCAAGCACCAGACTTGGGCTCTTCTTCAAAACCCAAAGGTCCAATTCCCCAGCCTCTCCCCTCCAATATCCAGGGCTCTGTCCTCCTAGGGAGCCCAGGCATGGTGCTTCCCAGGCCCTGGGAAAACAAACTGGCTTCTTCCAGCCTTTTGGGGATCCAGGGATCCAACCTCTCAGACTTTACCCACTCCCAGCCCCCTTCCTCCCTTAGGCCCAGGAATCCGGGTCTCCATTCCCAACTCCCTTAGCCCCAGAAGTCTGGGTCCCGCCCCCTCCCACCCTGCTCCTCCCTCTCTCCCAGCCCCGGCCCGCCCCATCACCATCTCACCCACCTGAGAAGAGCCAGGAAGACAGAAGGAAAAACACAGAAAAAAAGGGGGCGGAGTCAGCATCGGGAGCCCCCGGGACGCACCCCTCCTTGACCCCCTTGCCCTGCCCTGGGGCGGACACTCACCCATTGACAGCGACCTGGGGGGCGCTTTGCTGTAGGAAGTAAGACAGTCGGGTCAGGCGGGGCCAGGCGGACCGGCCGCGCCCCCGGACTTCCCAGCCTCGGCCCTGCTGTGTCGCTTGGGTCACCTGCCGGCGCCTCCGCTCGTGCTGTAGCTGTTTCTCAACTGGGTCCTCCCAGGCGCGGCTCTGCGGGTCAGTGACCGGCGGCTCCCAGCCGCTGAAGAACTCGGGTCTGTATGGGGGTCCCTCCTCCGGGGACAGCTCCAGCCTGCGGCCAGGGACAGGGCCAAGAGCTCAGGGATCCTGATACAGCCCCCAACTTCGTTCCTGCATTAACTTCACTAAGTTTTCCCCTAAAGCTCGCTGTATTCCAACGATTCTAGCCCCGCCACTTTTCACCAAGTCCTGCCGGTAGCTCTAAGCCCAACTCAACAGCAATTTATATTTCTAGACCGGGCACGGTGGCTCACGCCTGTAATCCCAGCATTTTGGGAGGCCAAGATGGGAGGATCGCTTGAGGCCAGGAGTTCCAGACCAGCCTGGGCAAAATATTGAGACCCCATCCATCTCTCTCTCTGGAAAAAAATTGCCTTATCCAGCCTCTAAATCTCACCTGATTCCAAATCAGGTTTTCCGTAAGGTCGGTTTCAGGTTCTGACCCTTTCCCTGCGGAACTGCCAGCCCGCAGTGCACAGACTCTGTCCCATCACCAAAGTTATAGACCAAACCTTCCAGAAGCCCCGCCCCTTCGCGTAGCCCCGCCCCTGCCCCGTAGCCCCTAGCCCCTCTATTCCTTTAAGCCCCCCTTTTCTTTCAATCCGATTGGTCTGGTGGTCTTAAATCTTTCCTTCACGTTAATTCCTGGCCTTTCCTCCAATTGAATCTTGGCATCTGTCCTAAGCCCCGCCCCAACACAACTAAGCCACGCCTCTAACCCCTCCCTACTCTCCTAGTCCTATTTTCCAATCATCATGCCACCCACCTCCCAGCGCCTTATGCTCCTCCAATCACCATGCCCCCTGCCTCCCAGCCCCGCCCCTCACCCGGGGCGGGTCCACGAGTCCCCCAGCGAGGTCCAGAGCTCGTTTTCACGTGGAGTGACGTTGTCCCGCAGCAGCGCCACGGCATCCGATGTCAGATGCGGCCGCCGCACACTGCTCGCGAACTCCGGCCCCCCCGACGTGTTCACAATCTGTCAGGGGAGCAGGAGGGGCAGGCTGTGCCGCCACACCTTCTACAAGTCGAACCCGATTCCTCCCGCTGCAGGGGGGCCCGAGGGCCTGGGGCGGGTCTCACCATCTGCAGAGGCCCGAAAAGGAAGTGCAACAGCTCCGGAGAGGAGGGGTCGGCGATGTTGCCGCGCAGCCGGGCCTGGGGCGTGGGGAGGGAGGTGGTTGGCGTGGGTGCGGGGACGGGACAGGTTCGTCGTGCCCGCGCCCCGGCCCAGGGGCGGGCGCGTCCTCACCAGCAGGCTGAAGGCGTACTTGATCTTCTGCAGCACGTCGGTGTACTCGGCCTCCGAGGGCGGCTTGGCCCGCAGCGTCAGCAAGCCCTCTGAGGGGAGCAGACGGGCGCGGCGATGGGGACGCGGGGCCAGCACCAGGCAGGCAGAGAGAGGTGGACACCCGGTTAAGATGGCGGTGAGGTCAGCCCTGGCAAGTGGCGGGAGGGGAGAGCCTGGGGAGAGCGGGGACATTTGGAAGAGATCGGGAGGGGGTTCAGATCCCACGCCAGGGTGCCCCTTACCCCCAGCCGCCCGGCGCCGGCTCCTGCGGCCGCGTTCCCGGTGCTCCAGCACCCTGGCCGCCTCCGCCGACTTCTGCAGCCTCGATACAAAGCTCTCTACGTCGTCGAACACGTGGTTCAGGATGTCCTAGGGGACAGAGGAGGGGGACGCTCAGGGCTCCCGAGTTCCAAAACCATCCCCGTCGAAGCCCTGAACCTGAGCACCTATACACTTCCCCAGATCAGGCCACGCCCCAAACACCTGGCCACGCCCCACAACCAAGCCCCGCCCCCGACCCAGCCCCTCTTCCATAACGCAGAAGTCTGACCAGAGAACGCCCGTCCCGCAGCCGGCCCCGCCCTTCCACGCCCTAGCCCCGCCTCCAGTCGCCTGGCCCTGCCCCCAGACCCCTTCCTTAGCGGCTCACCACTTCCCGCTCCGCCTGCAGAACCGCCAGGTCAGGACCCCGGGGACCCAGGTCCGGGGAGGCCGAGTCAGCGTTGCTCGAGGTCCCCACCGGCTCAGGCCTCTGCGCCTCCTCTGCCTCGGGAATGGGCTTCGCCTGGGGTCGTCCGCGGCCCGCGCCCCGCTCTACGGTGCTGATCACTGCGCGGACTGACGGGCGGCGCTGCAGGGGCGGGGTCTCAGCGGCGGGCGAGCGGTCGCGCTGCAACTCCTCCTGCGTGGCCCTGCGGAGGGCGACGGGGACACCAAGACTGGGTCCACTGAGGGGTCCAGGGAGGGGGAAATCCAGGGCGCAGAACGAGACACACAGGCTCAAAAGGCTCAAAGGGAGTGAACAAGTTCAACGAGGTAGGGAGAAATCCGATATACGGAGGGATAGCACCTCTCTAGAGTGAAACTGAGGGCCTGGACAGGGAACAGAGAAAAGAAGCAGAGTTCTGGAGAAGGGGTCAGCTCGTCTGGGAGGTACAGACAAGACTCGACTAGGGTGTGCTTGACTCCATGCAAAACTCTTGTTCTGTTCCAGGCTGGTGTTGTAGACTGAGGCACAAGGAGGGGAAACCGGCTTCCCAGAGACCCTGCCAACTTCTTCCCTCTCACCTGAGCGCCGCCGCCCTGCGCTCCCCGCGGCCCGAGCGGTAATTGTGCAGAGCCCCCTGGATGTCCTCTCGGATCAGCTCCGCCTGCCAATCACACCGTCAGGCCACGCCTCCCCACGCCGCACCCACTTCCTACCCGGGCCTCGCCCCTGGCCGATTTTTCAGCTCAGTCCCAGCCCACGTGCGGCTACCGTTCACACCTGTGAACCCACGCACGTCCACGCCCCGAACTCACCCCTCGCCCTACACCTGTCCCTGCCCTAAGCCACGACCCCGCCCATGGAGACCCAGTCCGGGTGGTTCCTCGCCCCCACCTCGTCCTGGCTGCTCCCCCAGATCCTTCTTGGCCATGTTCTGTTCATGTCCTCATCCCACCTTCATGTTCTATCTTGACCCTGGGTCCAATCTCAAACCCCACTGCCTTCCAGAACTTCCTTCCCAGGTCCCCTGCCCTTCCTTGCTCTGATCCCGCCTTAGCCCCAGGCCCCGCCCCACCTAGAGGCCCCACCCATTTCCGCCCCGGCTCCAGGCTCCGCCCAGTTCCAGCTCCACCCCCAGAGCCAGCCCATCTGCTCACCCCGAGGCGCAGGCCCTGGAAGAAGTGCACGTCGGGCTGCGCGCGCTCGGGTTCCTGGCACACGAGCAGCAGCAACGAGCGGCTCCTGCCGGGTGGCATCACCGCGTCACAGCGCACGATGGCGCCCAGTGGGTACGACTCCAGCTCCTCCTGCCGGGTGGGATGGCGGGGTAAACTGAGGCCCCGAAATGATGGTACTACTAAATGGCGACGGGAGTGTGGGCCAGCAGGTCAGGGCAACCTCAGGCGGTTAGGGGGTTAGGGATAACAGCCCTGTTTAATAGATGAGGCTATTAAGGCTCAAGAAGGGGGCTGGGGTCCCTCGCCAGAGTTCCCAGAGGAAGGACGTGCAGGAGCCAAGATTCACACCCAGACCCCCTGAAGTCCCTGCCCCAGACACTCCTCCCACCCACGTGCCCCCCGGCACCTTGGAGGCCGGGTCGAGCAGCGTGACATGGTCGGGAGACACTCGCAGCAGCATCTCCTGTGCCCAGACTCGGCCCTGGCTATCCATGACGGCCAACTTCCTGGAGGCATCCTCCACGGTATGCACGCCATCGTCCTCACCCAGGCAGAACGTCACCAGGTGCTGGTACGGACCATGGAGAAAGCAGTGAGGCCCAAGATGATGCCAGGTGGGCTCAGAATCCCCCAGAATAATCAGACTTTCAGCCTGAGACTAACCACACCTCCTCCAGGAAGCCTTCCTTGATCACCTGTTCCACAAATCAGCTCCTCCTCCCAGTGCCCTTTGTTTCCCTTTCATCAGAGTGACTAGCACCTGAGTCTGGCTTCTCACAGACTGGAGGCTCCTTGCGGGCAGGGAAGGAGTCTGGATTATAGCTCTCTCCTTCTAAATGCCTCCTCGGGTCTCCTGCCATGCCCCCTGCCACCTCCATTAGAGCACCAGGCGCCTCTGTGGATTCCTCTGGACCTTGTCTACCCCTTCCTCATGCAGGGCTGTGTCTTGATTTGCCTCCGTGGTCCCACTGTCCAGCACAACAGCTGGCCTGGAGGAAAGGCTGGCAGATTAAGTGGACCCGAGGCCCCTGGCTTCATATCCATGACTGAGGTGAGGCAACGGAGGTCCATTTTATGGATGGGCAAACTGACTTTCCACATGCTTCCTGCTTGGGGGCCTAGCTGCTTTCAAAAGCCCTATCTCCTGAGGCCACCTTTGCCCCAGAAGATGTCCTGGGGGAACACAGACCCCAGACTCACATTGACTGGGTACTGGGATACATCAGCCATAACAACTGTGGAGTAACGCTTCCTCTGCTCTGCCAGGGGAGAAAGAGAATGAGCCTGGGAGTCCAGGCCCAGCCCCTCCTCCATCAGACCCAGGAGTCCAGGCCCCCAGCCCCTCCTCCCTCAAACCTAGGAGTCCAGCCCCCCAGCCCCTCTTCCCTCTGACCCAGGAGTCCAGGCCCCCAGCCCCTCCTCCCTCAAACCCAGGAGTCCAGGCCCCCAGCCCCTCTTCCCTCTGACCCAGGAGTCCAGCCCCCCAGCCCCTCCTCCCTCTGACCCAGGAGTCCAGACCCCCAGCCCCTCTTCCCTCTGACCCAGGAGTCCAGGCCCCCAGCCCCTCTTCCCTCTGACCCAGGAGTCCAGGCCCCCAGCCCCTCTTCCCTCTGACCCAGGAGTCCAGCCCCCCAGCCCCTCTTCCCTCTGACTCAGGAGTCCAGACCCCCAGCCCCTCTTCCCTCTGACCCAGGAGTCCAGCCCCCCAGCCCCTCTTCCCTCTGACCCAGGAGTCCAGCCCCCCAGCCCCTCTTCCCTCTGACCCAGGAGTCCAGCCCCCCAGCCCCTCTTCCCTCTGACCCAGGAGTCCAGCCCCCCAGCCCCTCTTCCCTCTGACCCAGGAGTCCAGCCCCCCAGCCCCTCTTCCCTCTGACCCAGGAGTCCAGGCCCCCAGCACCTCTTCCCTCTGACTCAGGAGTCCAGGCCCCCAGCCCCTCCTCCCTCAAACCTAGGAGTCCAGCCCCCCAGCCCCTCTTCCCTCTGACCCAGGAGTCCAGACCCCCAGCACCTCTTCCCTCTGACTCAGGAGTCCAGACCCCCAGCCCCTCCTCCTCCAAGACCCTGGATGCCAGGTCCTGTTTCTTTAGACCCAGTTCTATGGGCCTGGGGCTCCCTTGCCCCCCGCTCACCATAGATAGACTTGGCGCTTGGCTTTGGGGCAGCTTCTGGGCTGGTGAAGAAAAGAGGAATGAGAGAGACTGTGGGACTGGGGGCAGATCCTGTGGAAATGCCAAGCAGGGCAGCAAGGGCTTCATGACGAAGGTAATGGGGAGCGATGGAAGGGTTATTATTATTATTATTATTATTATTATTATTATTATTATTGAGCAGGAGAGCTCAGAGCCAGAGCTGGACTTTAAGAAGACAGGTAGGCTGGGCGCGGTGGCTCACGCCTGTAATCCCAGCACTTTGGGAGGCAGAGGTGGGCGGATCACAAAGTCAAGAGATTGAGACCATCTTGGCCAACATGGTGAAACCCTGTCTCTACTAAAAATACAAAAATTAGCTGGGTGTGGTGGTGGGCGCCTGTAGTGCCAGCTACGTGGGAGGCTGAGGCAGGAGAATCACTTGAACCTGGGAGGCGGAGGTTGCAGTGAGTCCAGATCGTGCCACTGCACTCCAGCCTGGCAGCAGAGTGAGACTCCATCTCAAAAAAAAAAAAAAAAAAAAAAAGACAGGTCAGGTCAGGCGGTGGTGCTGGGTGGTAGGGGAGTGTGATCTCTACCATGGCATAGTCCGGGATTCAAACCCTCTGTCTACTGCCTCCTTGCCATAAGACCTTCAGAAGAGGATTTAATCTCTCCTGCCTCAGTTTTTCTTTCTGTAACGTAGTAACCATCTGGTAGGGCTGTTGGGCAAATTCAGTCAGATGATGCAGGTGAAGTATTTTGAAGCCTCAATAACTGTTATTATCATTCTTAAGATGCTGCCAGGGCTTAGCACACAGAAGTTGCTCAATAAATGGGAATGGTTATAATAGCATTAGTGGTATCTGAAGTAGACAGGGAATTATCTGCTTCCCCTCCCACTCCCATGGGCCAGGTGCTTCCCAACCACATCCTTCTCTGTCTCCTCCCGTCCTCAATTTCTTCCTAAGATTACCTTTCCTAAGAATTCTTGAATCCCCACTTGCATGCACATAACAGAAGCTCAGCGATCAGGTGGCGTCAGGGGAACTGAAAAACCCTTTTTCCCAAACTCCTGTTCCTCATCCTGCTCCTGCCAGTCTGATGTCACCACAATTTGATTACCTCTGGGCCAGAGAGCTCACTACCTACCATGCAGGTATTTTGACTCATCTCTCATTGTTTTTCTCCCTGCTTACTCTGGGGGACTTGAGTCTTCATTATAAACAGCCCTGATTTTCTAGCAAAGGGTTAATATTTACTAACAACATAACAATCGCAATAGCGACTCCTATGAGTTGAGCACCTGCTGTCAGTGAGGTGGTCAGCTAAGTCCTGTAATGCACTATCCCTCCAATTTTTCAACATTGTCCCTGTGTCACAGAGGAGGGGCTGAGGCTCCAGGAGGTGATGTCCTCTGACCAGGGTTACATCAGCACTGAGTGTGAGGGCCGAACTGGAGCTCAGGCCTGTCTGCTCTGCAGTGGGGGCCCCTAACCCCAGGCTGGGCAGGGAGGAGAGAGGCTCTGGCTTCCTCCTGAGTGTCGGGGCTTGGGCCAGAGTCTGGGCCGCCGCAAACAGTCTGGGCTGCCGCAAGCGGGTGTGGGTGAGGAGGCGAGGGGAGGCGGGAGGCGTGCTGGGGCTGGGACCTGGGGTCCGGGGGCGCTTACCCTGTGGCGGTGCTCATGGTGCTGAGTGGTAGCTCCTGCCCACCTGGAGGTGCCCTGGGAGCCAGCAAACATGTGAAGGCCTGGCCAGTAGGAGCCTCTAATTCCTACCCCAGCCTCCTCCCTCAATGCAGGCATCCAGGCCCCAGCCCCTCCTCCCTCAGGCCCAGGAGTCCAGGCCCCCAGCCCCTCCTCCCTCAGACCCAGAAGTCCAGGCCCCAGTCCCTCTTCCCTAGACCCAGGAGTCCAGACCCCAGTCCCCTCCTCCCTCAGACCCAGGAGTCCAGACCCCAGTCCACTCCTCCCTCAGACCCAGGAGTCCAGGCCCCATCTCCTCCTCCCTCAGACCCAGGAGTCCAGGCCCTCAGCCCCTCCTCCCTCAGACCTAGGAGTCCAGGACCCCAGGCCCTCCTCCCTCAGACCCGGGAGTTCAGACCCCCAGCCCGTCCTCCCTGAGACCCTGGAGTCCAGACCCCAGTCCCCCCGTCCCTCAGACCCATTGGTCAAGCCCCGGCCCCCTTCTCTCCTGACCCGGATCTCCTTACCTGCCTGCTCAGGCTCTGCCCTGCTCTCCGCTGTCCTTTCCCTTCCAGGCTGCCGGCCCCTCCTCCTGCTCCCTCCCAGGGCCGTCCTGCCTCCGCCTCCGCCTCCGCATACCTGAGCATTCACCTGGCACAGCCTGGCTGGAGTGACCCCGGGGCGGGGCTGGCAGACAGATCTAGGAGGGGCTGGGGGGACTGCAGGGGAGCTGGGAAACTAACTGTCTGCCTTGTAGCAACAGAATAATAGCAACGAACAGTACATTTGATGTCACACTTGTTCACAGGTCAGAGTTGAAAGCTCTGTCTTTAAAACTCCCTTGAAATTCTAACAGCGGGAGGAAGTTCGAGGTTTGATTCCTGCTTGACAGATGAGGAAGCTGAAGGCCAGAGAGGTTGAGCAACTTGTCCATTTCAGCACTTGGTTAAGGAGGGATTTGAACCCGGGGCTGACCTTCTGTCTCCAGGGCCAGTGGCAGCCCGTCTTCTATGGACACCTCCTGCCCACGATCACTGCCTCTGCTCATGCCCTTACCTCCCCACCCATCCCGTTCCACCTTCCTTTGGAAATTTCCCTCAATGACCCCCCTATTCTGACAAAAGCTAAGATTTAGCTCGATAATGCCTGGCCCAGCTCCAAGGACATCACAAAAATGAACAGGCTTTCCAGGCATAAACACCTTTCTGAAATCACTTTTCCAGAACTCCCTCCATGCTGTAGAGGTTACTAGCAAAGCTTTCCACATCATTTCTCCCCAGAGCCCCGTGAGGGGAGTGTGTCTGGGTGGGAGGCTGTCTTCGTCTCACAGATGAGAAAATGAGGAAGAGAAGGGTTAAGAAACTTGCATGGGTACAGTGGCTCACATCTCTAATCCCAGCACTTTGGGAGGCCGAGGCAGGCAGATCACCTGAGGACAGGAGTTCGAGACCAGCCCAGCCAACATGGTGAAACCCCATCTGTACTAAAAACACAAAAATTATCCAGGTGTGGTGGCGGGTGCCTGTAATCCCAGCTACTCAGGAGGCTGAGGCAGGAAAATCACTTGAACCCGGGAGGCAGAGGTTGCGGCGAGCCGATAATTGCACCACTGCACTCCAGCCTAGGCAAGAGAGCGAGGCTCCATCTCAAAAAACAGAAAACAGGCCGGGCGCAGTGGCTCACACCTGTAATCCCAGCACTTTGGGAGGCCGAGGCGGGTGGAACACGAGGTCAGGAGATCGAGACCATCCTGGCTAACACGGTGAAACCCCGTCTCTACTAAAAATACAAACAATTAGCCGGGCGTGGTGGTGGGCACCTGTAGTCCCAGCTACTCGGGAGGCTGAGGCAGGAGAATGGCGTGAACCTGGAAGGCGGAGCTTGCAGTGAGCCGAGATTGCGCCATTGCACTCCAGCCTGGGCGACAGAGCGAGACTCTGTCTCAAAAAAGAAGAAAAAAAAAAAGCTGACATCTTGCAAGGCCTTAAGGGACGTGATTCTGATCTCATCTCTTCCTTCTGTGTGTCAGCACACTGGCCTCCTTGCTGCTCTTGGAACATCCAGACCCGGTCCTGCCTCAGGGCCTTTGCACTTGCTGTTTCCTCTGCCTGGAATGCTCTTCTACCAGATACCCTCATGCCTCACTTTCTTGCCTCCTTTGATCTTTGCCTGAATGTCACCTTCTCAGAGGACTGGCTGACCACCCTGTTTCAAATGGCGGCATCCCTTACTCGACTTCTTTTGTTTTTTTTGAGACAGAGTTTCACTCTTGTTGCCCAGGCTGGAGTGCAGTGGCGCAATCTTGGCTCACCGCAACCTCCGCCCCCCCAGGTTCAAGTGATTCTCCTGCCTCAGCCTCCTGAGTAGCTGGGACTACAGGCGCGCGCCACCACGCCCGGCTAATTTTGTACTTTTAGTAGAGACAGCATTTCACCATGTTGGCCAGGATGGTCTCGATCTCTTGACCTCGTGATCTGCCCGCCTCGGCCTCCCAAAGTGCTGGGATTATGGGTGTGAGCCACCGCCCCCGGCAACCCAACTTCTTTGTAGTCTCTTTCCTCTCTCCCTACTTCATTTTTGTGTGGAGAACTTTTCACCTTCTTACCCACTGTGTTCCTGGTTCATTTTGTCTGTGTCTCCTCCGTTAGAATGCAAGCTTCACAGGCTGGGCACGGTGGCACATGCCTGTAATCCCAGCACTTTGGGAGGCTGAGGCGGATTGATCACTTGAGGTTGGGAGTTCGAGACCAACCTGGCCAACATGGTGAAAGCACGTCTCTACTGAAAATATGAAAATTAGCCGGGGGTGGTGGTGTACACCTGTAATCCCAGCTTCTTGGGAGGCTGAGACAAGAAAATTGCTTGAACCCCGGAGGTGGAGGTTGCAGTCAGCCGAGATCACACCATGTCACCAACATGATAAAACCCCATTTCTACTAAAAAAAAAAAAATTAGCCAGAGTTGGTGGTGCACACCTGTAATCCCAGCTTCTTGGGAGACCAAGGCAAGAGAGTCACTTGAACCTGGGAGGTGGAGGTTGCAGTGAACCGAGATGATCGTGCCACTGCACTCCAGCCTGGGTGACAGAGCGAGACTCCATCTTAAAAAAAAAAAAAGCGGCCGGGTGTGGTGGCTCACGCCTGTAATCCCAGCACTTTGGGAGGCCGAGGCGTGTGGATCACGAGGTCAGGAGATTGAGACCATCCTGGCTAACATGGTGAAACCCCGTCTCTACTAAAAATACAAAACAATTAACCAGGCTTGGTGGTGGGTGCCTGTAGTCCCACCTACTCCGGAGGCTGAGGCAGGAGAATGGCGTGAACCCGGGAGGTGGAGATTGCAGTGAGCCAAGATTGCTCCACTGCACTCCAGCCTGGGTGACAGAGCAAGACTCCATCTCAAAAAAAAAAAAAAAAAAATGCAAGCTTCACAAGGGCAAAGATTTTTGTGTGATCAGTCCTCCACTTAATCTGCAGCACACAGAATTGGGTCTAGCACATAGAAAGTGTTGGAGAGATACTTGTTGAGTAAACGAGCTTTTGGCATTTGGTGCATTCATGTGCATTACTGCTTTGTTGCTTCATTCAAGATATGTTGCCTCCACGGTCTATGCTGAGTGAGCCTGGAAATCAGAGAAGGCACATTTTTGCCTTCGATTGATGGGGATGAAGGAACAGAGAGAAAGAGATATAGTGTGGTCTGATGGCAGAGAGCCTCGGGCAGGTGTGGGTCTGAATCCTGGCTTTGCCACTTGATAATTTTGGAGATACTTATTGTGTGCTTATATCTTCTCAGTACATCATAAATGTGTGTGTGTGTGTGTGTGTGTGTGTATGCATAATCCTCACCACATCCTATGGAATGGGTCCTATTATCCCCATTTTTTTTCTTAATTGAGACAAGGTCTAGTTCTGTGGCCCAGGCTAGAATGCAGTGTCATAATCACAGCTCACTGCAGTCTCGACCTACTGGGGTGATCCTCCCATCTCAGACTATATATAAATATATATACACATATATATAGTAGAGTCTCCTTATGTTGCCCAGGCTGGTCTCCAACTCCTGGGCTCATGTGATACTCCTGCCTTATCCTCCCGAAGTGCTGGGATGACAGGCATGAGCCACCCACCACACCCAGCTTATTGGGAGGATAAAGTCAGGTTATAGAGAGTTGTCAATACAGTACCTGGCAAAGAGGAAACGCAAGGCTGGTGTTAGCAATGGCGAGGACGATGGCCTTTCTTCCCATGCGTGCTGCAAGGGAGGACACGAGGGGCTCTGCCAAGGCCAGGAGAGGCTGCTGAGGGTCAGGACAGGCTGCCTGGAGGAGGAGGACAGGCTGCCTGGAGGAGGAGGGCAGGCCAGGAATCACCTTGAAGGATGAGTTTGACAGCCAGTGTCAATCCTAGAAGATAGGGGTGTTCTGGGCCCTGCAACTGCCTGAGTGAAGGATGGGGGCTGCAGGGGTGGCCAGCGGGGCTAGACTGTGAGCTCCTGGCTACCCAGCAGGTGGTCCTGGTGCGTGTAGCAGCGGGTGGGGGAGGTAGGGGTGGAAGGAGGGCCCTTACGCTTCTCTTTCTTTGGCTTCTGCAATTCTGTGTTCTCATCACATTCATGCCACAAGTATTTTCTGTGCTTGACTGTACCTGAGTTGGGGTTTGAGGGAAGGAGCAGACCCCTTGCCCCATTGACAGGAGAAAACAGAGGCTCAGAGAGGGAAGTCAGTAGCCTAAGGTTACAGTGGCCCTGGGCTGTGACACAGATGCAGATCTGACTGGGCCTGGGCTCATTTCTTCATGAACAAGGGGAGAAAACTATCTCATAGAAGCATTTGGTATGGGTCCGAGGCCTTTGGGTCTGAGGGAGGAGGGGCTGGGGTCTGGACTCTTGGGTCTGAGGGAGGAGGGGCTGGGGGCCTGGACTCCTGGGTCTGAGGGAGGAGGGGCTATCTCATTGCTTTGGGGGTGGCGCAGGCGGCCCTCCAGGCCATGGTCTGGAGCAGCAGGTGAGACCGAAACCCGAGCCTCCACCCAAGTCCCAAGTCCCAGGGCCCAGGGCCTCTTTCCTCCTTCTCTGGCCGCAAAGGAGGCCCCTCCCTCTCTGTAACCCACAGCAAATGCCTCCCAAATACCAGTCAAAGTGTCCACCCCTGCACAGTCTGACTCAGCCAGTCCAGGGCGGAGGCAGTAAAGCCCTGTCTTGGCAAGTCACCAGGGAAATCCATCACCGAAGCACCTCTCTCCCCCCTCGGCCTGGCTATTCTGTCATTGGCACCTGTTCTTGGGTGAGTGACAGGGCTCTGTGGTCAGGGTTTGCCTCTGTCCCAGTCTGGGATAGCTGTCTTGGGGGGCTGGCCTTTCTTCCCTCTCACCTGGGATGTCCCAGGAACGGAACAGAATTCTCCCCTGGGGCTTGAAGAGCTCACCCCCCATCTCCTCCGTTATCCCCACCCCCACACCACCCAACACACATCCTCTAGTCTGTAGGATTTGCTGACAAATTCCTATGACAGCCGGATGTGGTGCCTCACACCTGTTACCCAGCATTTTGGGAGGCCATCACTTGAGATCAGGAGTTCGAGACCAGCTTAGCCAACATGGTGAAACCCCATCTCTACAAAAGTAGCTGGGTGTGGTGGCGTGCGCTTGTAGTCCCAGCTACTAGGGAGACTGAGGCAGGAGAATCACTTGAACCCGGGAGGCAGAGGTTGCAGCGAGCCATTGCGCCATGCACTCCAGGCTGGGTGACTGACTGAGATTCTGACTCAAAAAAAAAAAAAAATCCTATGACAAGGAGAAAGGTCAGATTCCCTGGCAATGGGAGCTGAGGCATGTTCTTGAGAAGGAGGGAGGTTATAAATTAGATGGGGCTGGGTCTCAGAGAGATATAGCTACTTACATATTAAATAATGAGGCTGAGTGTGGCGTCTCACACCTATAGTCCCAGTACTTTGGGAAGCAGAGGCAGGAGGATCCCTTGAGCCTAGGAGTTTGAAACCAGCCTGGGCAACATAGGGAGATTCCATCCCTACCAAAAAAAAAATTAAAAATTAGCCAGGCATAGTGGCCTGCATCTGTGGTCCTAGCTGCTTGGGAGGCTGAGGTGGGAGGATTGCTTGAACCTGGGAGGTCAAGGTACAGTGAGCCACGATTGCACCACTGCACTCCAGCCTGGGTGACAGAGCAAGACCTTGTCTCAAAAAAAGTAATTAATTTATTTATTCAATACGTAGCTCCTGAGACAAAATGTGTGCCGTACTCTAGACCCTGCTGGTGTGCACAATTCATGGGGGATATGTGCGCTAATGGAAGTGTGGCACAGGGCAAGGGTGTCCCCAGAGAAAGCCCTAATCCAGCTTTATGGGTGGTTGTATGAGGCACAGAAGCCTTTCCTGGTTAAGGGATAAATGGATGGGGTTTCAAAGGATGAATAGGAGTTTGCCAAGGACAATGAAGCAAAGATTGACATTCTAAGCATTGGGAGTGTCCTATGCAAAATCCCAAAGTGATGTAGTAGCAAATACTTAAGCACCTACAGTGTGCCAAGCATGTTTCATGTGCTGGAGATACAGAGGAGGAGGAGACAGATGAAACCCCAGCCCTTGTGATATTGTCATCCTAGTAGGTGTGGTGGGGAGATAAACAAGTAGACACCTGCATGAATAAGACTTTCAGATTGTGGTAAACCCTGTGGAGGAAACGAAACAGGTGAAGGAACGGCGTGACTAGGAGCAGGCAGGTGCGGCTGCTTCAGGTAGGGTGGTCAGGGAAGGAGGCGGCATCTGAGCTTTGACCTCAATTTCGAGAATGAGCCAGGAATGCAGAGAGGATTTCAGGCAGAGGAAACCTTAGGGAGGCTGGCGGGTTAAATCTGCAGGGGTGTGGCTGGCCGGAGGAAGTGAGGTGTGAGACAGTCACGTTGATGGTGACAGCAGCAGTGACCGTAGCAGCCTAGAGGTGGCCGAATGCTTACTCTAATGGGCTGGCCCATCCCTGAGTGTCTAGAGTTCCCAGCCCGCTTAAGGAAGGAAGGAAAACACAGGCAGCTCTAAGTGTACGACGAGGGAGGTCTCATCGGCGGTGAGGAAGCCCAGGCGGGTCCCCTTCCCAGCTGAAAGGGGTTCGGGTAGGTTTTTCCTGGGCGTTCCTCTGAGAACAGCCAGCCCTGGTGAGAGTGCGGGGAGAGGCGCTTATGACACAGGGAGGGTGGGTCTGGGAACCAGCCTGGCAGGAGGAGGAGGGAGACTGCCGGTGGCCGGGAGCTGTTTGTTCTCTGGGAGGGATCGTGGCGGGGTGGTTTGTGCAGCCCTTTCCTGAAACCGGAGGAGCCTGGCTCCTTCCCAGGTCTCTGGGGGATGGGTCGGGGCGGGGGGTGGTGACGGGGATAGGACCCCAGACAGACTTGAGTTTGGATCCTGGGTTGGAGCCGGTGACTTCACTCTCAGCTCCCTGAACATCAGGGCCTGCCTTTCTTCCCTCCCTTCCCCTCCCCTCCCCTCCCCTTCCTTCCTTCCTTCCTTCCTTCCTTCCTTCCTTCCTTCCTTCCTTCCCTTCCTTTCCCTTCCCTCCCTCCCTTTATTCTTTTCTTTTTTTCTTTTCTTTTCTTTCTTTCTTGACAGAGTCTTGCTCTGTCGCCCAGGCTGGAGTGCAGTGGCGCGATCTCGGCTCACTGCAAGCTCCGCCTCCCGGGTTCACGCCATTCTCCTGCCTCAGCCTCCCGAGTAGCTGGGACTACAGGCACCCGCCACCGTGCCTGGCTAATTTTTTTGTATTTTTAATAGAGACGGGGTTTCACTGTGTTAGCCAGGATGGTCTCGATCTCCTGACCTCGTGATCTGCATGCCTCGGCCTCCCAAAGTGCTGGGATTACAGGCCTGAGCCACAGTGCCCGGCCTCCTCTTTCTTTTTTTGAGACAGAATCTCACTCTGTCACCCAGGCTGGAGTGCAGAGGTGTGGTCTCGGCTCACTGCAACTTCCGCCTCCCAGGCTCAAGCGATTCTCCTGCCTCAGCCTTCCGAGTAGCTGGGACTACAGGCGCGTGCCACCATGCCCAGCTAATTTTTTGGTACTTGTAGTAGAGACAGGGTTTCACCATGTTGGCCAGGCTGGTTTCAAACCCCTAATCTCCAGTGATCTGCCTGCCTTGGCCTCTCAAAGTGCTGGGATTAAAGGCGTGAGCTACCGTGCCAGGCCGTGGAGTAGCTAAACTTATCTTACACTGCTGAGGTCTCTCAAGATGTGTGTAGGGAGAGAGAGTTGGGGGGAGAGAGAGAGACAAAGGAAAAGAGGAAGAGAGAGACAGGGAGAAAGAGAGGAAGAAAGAGAAAGAGAGAAACAGGAAGAGTGAGAGGAGAAAGAGAGGAAGGGGGAGAGAAAGAGAGATGGGGGAGAAAGAGAGAGAGAGAAGGAGACACAGGAGGGGGAGAGAAAGAGGGAGAGAGCAATGAGAGAGATATGAGACAGAGAAGAGAGAGAGAGGAGACACGGAGGAGGGGGACAGAAAGAGGGAGACAGAGAGATGAGAGAGAGAAAAGACACAGATGAGGGGGAGAGAAAGAGGGAGAGAGAGATGAGAGAGAGATTGATAGCACCCAGCTAATCAATCAGTGGCTTTAGTGCCATGAGCTGGAAGGGAGGAATGGATACTGGGGAACAGTTGGTTGACTTTCCCTGGTGGGACAGCCCCTCTTTCTAGAACTACCTTTCCTATGTCCCCTGTGCTTCTCTCCAGTCCATACTCTACATCTCAGCCAGAAAAGAAGAAATTCTAAAACATGTATCTGCCCGTGACATGACCCTCCTTGGCTCAACACTCTTCAGCGGTACCCAGCGCCCTCTGAGTCAACGCCAAGCTTCCTACCATGGCATTGGAGCCGCGCTCTGGGTCCTTTTACTGATGGCTCCCGCCTCAGCCCTTCCACCCCCTCCCATACCCTGCATGCCAGCCCAGGCAGCCCTCCCTCCTCCCACAATATCTCTCATATGCATTCCTGTCCCATGCCTTCTGCTTAAGCTGTTCCCACAGCCCGGAGTCTCCTCCCTGGCTGAGGGAAATCTTGCCGGCTCACATGGCCGTGATCCCCATCATTTCCTGCAGAAAGCTTGCCCAGCTCTCCGACACGGGGACCTTCTGCCCCTCCTGAGCCCTGAGTCCCCTCCATCTTAACTGGGAGGTCACCTGTTTGCGTGGTGTCTGCTCAGCTTGCAGGCAAGGCCACCAACACCCTCCTTTCCTGTCTTTCCTTCCTACCATCCTCTCCTGTCCACCCTCTGCCTCTCCCTCCCTTCTTCTCTTCTTTCCTTCTAGTTACTGAGCCATGCATGTGTTGCATGCAGCAAGGATGAATAAAATAAAATAAACCTACAGCAATCATTCCAGTTACTATGGCCATATAACAAATTATTCTAAAACTCAGTGGCTTCAGACAAGGATCATATCTATTTTACTCAAAAACCTACCATCTGCACAGGCCTTGGTGGAGGCAGCTTATCTGTGTGCCCTTTGGTGATGGCTGGGGCTGTCAAGAAGCTGGGGCAGTGCTTGGGCTGCAAAGACTCAAATGGCTGGAGTCTGGGACCACTGGAGCTCCTTGCCCCCCTTTGCTTATCTCTACACAGCCACAGGGTCGCTAAACTTACCTTACACTGCTGAGGCCTCTTAAGATGTGTGTAGGGAAAGAGAGTTGGGGGGAGAGGGAGAGAGAGAACAGAGAGAGAGAGACACACACAAGAAGAGAGAGAGGAAGAAAGAAGGAGAGAGAGGAAGAGGAAGGGAGAGGAAGAGAGAGAGAAAGAGAAAGAGGGAGAGAGAGAGGAGAGAAAGAGACAAGAAGAGAGGAAGAAAAAAGAGGAAGAGAGGGATAGAGGAAGACAGAAGGAGGGAGAGGGAGAGAGGAAGAGAGAGGAAAGAGAAAGGAAGGGAAAGAGAGATGTGAGAGAGAGGGAGAGAGAGAGAGAAAAGAGGACAGAGGAAGAGAGAGAGGAAGAGAGAGGGAGAGAGAGGGAGAGAAGACAGAGAGGGAGAGAGGAAGAGAAAAGGAGACAGAGAGAGGAGAGATAGAGAAGAACGAGAAAGGAGAGACAGAATGTGAATGAGAATTGGGTGCCATAAACCCTCTGATGGGGAAAGCAAAGGGCATTGTGGGAGAATCCTCTCAGCACCTGGGACAGCACCCAGTGCTGATCAGGAACATGTTAACAACCAGGAAAATGGTAAAGGCGTGGACAGCCCACCTGGAGTCCAAACAGATGTTCTAACTCCCTTGGGTGTGTCTGGGAATCAGGTAGGAGATCCTCAGAGGAGGAATATGCATGCATTGTTCTCTTTATAATAACCATATTAACAGCCAGCAATGTTCTGGCACTTACTATGGATTAAGTCCTTGTTATGAATGACTTCATGCCATCCTTCCAAATTCAATGACAGGTAGCTGGGCGCAGTGGCTCACGCTTTGTAATCCCAGCACTTTGGGAGGCTGAGGCAGGTGGATCACCTGAAGCCTGGAGTTCAAAACCAGCCTGGCCAACATGGTGAAACCCCGTCTCTACTAAAAATACAAAAATCAGCCAGGTGTGGCGGCGAGCGCCTGTAATCCCAGCTACTCATGAGGCTGAGGCAGGAGAATCGCTTGAACCCAGGAGGCAGAGGTTGCAGTGAGCTGAGATTGCATCACTGCGCTCCAGCCTGGGCATCGGAGAGAGACTCTCAAACAGGAGCTGGCGAACTGTGGCGCACTGCTTATTTTTATAAATAAAGTTTTATGGGAACACAGCTGTGCTCACTTGTTTTCACATCATCTGTGGCTGCTTCCCAGCTCCTCTGGCAGAGGAGGTGCAACAGCCACTGTGTGGATCACAAAGCTGAAATTATTTACTATCTGGCTGTTTGTAGAAAAAGTTTGCTGATCTCTGTCCTGGAAGTCAATGATATTAGGATTTCAGTTTACAGAAAAGGAGAAAAAGACAGGGAAAAACAGTGTTGTTTTTTTTTCAAGGTTGAGAAAATGAACATCTGAACCAATTGCCCATGTTATTAAATGTAAACATTTATTATTATTATTTTTGAGATGGGGTCTTGCTCTGTCACCCAGCCTGGGGTGCAGTGGCACAATCACAGCTCATCATAGCCTTGACCTCCTGGGCTCAAGCAGACCTCCCACCTCAGCCTCCCAAGTAGCTGAGGGTGCAGATGCGTGCCACCAAACCTGCTAATTTTTGTATTTTTTGTAGAGATAAGGTTTTGCCGTGTTGTCCAGGCCGCTCTCAAACTCCTGGGCTCATACTATTCTCCACTTTGGCCTCCCAAAGTGCTGGGATTACAGGCATGAGCCACCATGCCCAGTCTAAAATTTTTCTTTATTTTTAGTTTGGTAAACTATGCATAAAGTAAAATGTACCATCTTAACCATTTTAAGTGTACAATTCAGTGATGTTAAGTATATTCACATTGTTGTGCAACCATCACCACCGTCCACCTTCAGGTCTTTTTTTTATTTTGCAAAACAAACTCTGTATCTATTAAAAAACAGCTTCCCGGCCGGGTGCGGTGGCTCATGCCTGTAATCCCAGCACTTTGGGTGGCCGAGGCAGGTGGATCACCTGAGGTCAGGAGTTTGAGACCAACCTGGCCAACATGGTGAAACCCCGTCTCTACTAAAAATACAAAAATTAGCCGGGTGTGGTGACACGTGCCTGTAGCCCCAGCTACTCGGGAGGCTGAGGCAGGAGAATCGCTTGAACCTAGGAGGCAGAGGTTGCAGTGAGCTGAGATCGCCCACTGCTCTCCAGCCTGGGTGACACAGTGAGACTGTCTCTCAAAAAACAAAACAAAACAAACAAACAAACAAAAACAAATCCTGTGACTTCCCAATCTCATCTCCAGCCCCCTGCAGCCACCACTCTGTTTTCTGTCTCTATGAATTTGACTCCTCCAAGTGCCTCTTATACAGCATTTGGCATTGTGTAACTGGTTTAATACGTTTGAGATGGTGAGAGCTTAAGGTCTACAGGCCTAAGGTTTTTTTTTTTTTGACAGAATTTCACTCTGTCGCCAGGCTGGAATGCAGTAGGGCAATCTCGGCTCACTGCAACCTCCACCTCCCGAGTTCAAGTGATGCTCCTGCTTCGGCCTCCTGAGTAGCTGGGACTACAGGTGAGTGCCACCACATCCAGCTAATTTTTGTATTTTTAGTAGAGACAGGGTTTCACCATGTTGGCCAGGCTGGTATCAATCTCCTGACCTCGTGATCCATCTGTCTCGGCCTCCCAAAGTGCTGGGATTACAGGCGTGAGCCACCGTGCCCGGCCATTGACTAAGGTCTTAAAATAGCTCTTCCTGCCTGTATAATCTCCATTATGGCAGGGCTCATATAAGAAGATGACAGTTCATCTGATGAGGAAGAAAACTTACTCCTAGTTAGATTGGGTTGAATTCTTCCCTGTTTCCAGCGGTGTCTGCTCCTGGCACCTCAGGCACAGTCAGGGGTAGGAGGTGGTGATCAGATACACTCGCTGTGAGCAGTGCAAGGGGAAGCAGGTGCCCAGAGGTGCATCCCGGTTTGGTGGGGGTGACAAACATGGACAGGTAAGTGCAGGAGTGTGTGCAATACTCAATCTAAGAAAGGTAGTTCAGGCAGAGTTCAGGGAAGATATCTCTGTGCAGGGCCAGACATGGGGATGAGATTCTGATAATTTGGGAATGAATCAGGCCCCCAGCCCCTCCTCCCTCAGACTCAGCAGTCCAGGCACCCGGCCCTCCTCCCTCGGACCCAGAAGTCCATGCTCCCAGCCCCTCCTCCCTTGGACCCAGGAGTCCAGGCCCCCAGCCCCTCCTCCCTCAGACCCAGGAGTCCAGGCCCCCAGCCGCCTTCTCCTGCAGGACCCCAGGAGCTTGGGTACCCACAGGCTACTAGATCCTTGTTTCTGTGCATGGAAATTCTCAAATTATCTCCAAAAGTCTATGAAGAAGGTAAACACACATTTCCAGATGAGGGAATAGGCTGATATAGTTGAAAGACACACAGAGGGTCACAGTCTGGAATTGACAGTGGTGGGATTCGAACCTATTTCACTCCAGAACTGCGTAGCGCCTTATACGCTGCGGCAAGTGTGACGTCATTCGAACAAACCATAGGCCCCGCCCCCGGACTAGCCACGCCCACAGGCTCCTGAAACCACCAATCCCAGCTGTGACAGCGCTCAGGACCGATGCTCATAGGTCCCGTCCCTAGGATCCCCGCCCCCTCCGCCCGCGCCCCGCCCCTCGCAGCCCAGTTCCGGACGCGGGCCCAGCCGCGCCTGCGCCTCCGCTCGCCTGTGGCTGCGTCGCGCGCTCTTCCTCGGAGCTACCCAGGCGGCTGGTGTGCAGCAAGCTCCGCGCCGACCCCTGACGCCTGACGCCTGTCCCCGGCCCGGCATGAGCCGCTACCTGCTGCCGCTGTCGGCGCTGGGCACGGTAGCAGGCGCCGCCGTGCTGCTCAAGTGAGTACATTCTAGCCCCGCGTGCGCGGTCAAGGCGGGCCCCCAGCGCAGGGGCCGGGAAGGCGGCGGAGACCCCCGCCCCTCGCACCCGGGTCCAGGCCCCGTAGCTCCCGACCCGCAGTGCCCGCCCGGAGTGGGGCAAACCTGCGCTCTGGCCGGCCAGGTCACCGGCCCAAGGTCACTCGGAGGGAAGGGCGAGCCTGGGCCCTTGTAAATGTTGCTTTCCTTCCAGACTTTTAAACTCTTTATTTTGTTGTTTTGTATTATTTATTTGTTCGTTTATTTTTAAAGGCAGAATCTGGCTCTGTCGCCCAGGCTGGAGTGCAGTGGCGCGATCTTGGCTCACTGCAGCCTTGACCTCCTGGGCTCAGGTGATCCTCCCACCTTGGCGTCCCCAGGAGCTGAGATCACACGTGCGCCACCACGCCCGGCTAATTTTTGTATTTTTCGCAGAGACGGGGTTTTGCCATGTTGGCCAGGCTGGTCTCAAACACCTGCCCTCAGGTGATCCGCCTGCCTCGGCCTCCAAAGTGCTGGGATTACAGACGTGAGCCACCTCGCCCAGCCTACTTAATTTAAACTTTCTTAAAAATTAGCCTCTGTGGCTGGTGGCCACTGTATTGCATGGTGCCCTTCTCTCCTGTGGGTGCAGTGCTGTTTACCTGCTCAGCCTCCTGTTGCTGGACACTATCTTGTTGCCAGCGTTAGCCTCTGTGGGACATGGGTGTGGTGGGCAGAGTCGTGACTCCGTAGAGGGGTCCACGTCCTAATCCTCGGAAGGTGTGACGACATTACCTCACGTGTCAGAGGTTCTCGCTGATGTGTTAAGTGAAGCATCTTTTTTTTTTTTGAGACAGAGTTTCGCTGTTGTTGCCCAGGCTGGAGTGCAATGGCACGACCTCGGCTCACCACAACCTCCACCTCCCGGGTTCAAGCGATTGTCCGGCCTCAGCCTCCTGAGTAGCTGGGATTACAGGCATGTGCCACCACGCCTGTCTAATTTTGTATTTTTAGTAGAGACGAGGTTTCTCCATGTTGGTCAGGCTGGTCTTGAGCTCCCGACCAAAGGGGATCTGGCCACCTTGGCCTCCCAAAGTGCTGGGGTTACAGGCGTGAGCCACCGTGCCCGGCCAAGTGAAGGATCTTATGATTATCATGTAGTCTTTTTTTTTTTTTGGAGACAGGGTCTCTCTGTCACCCAGGCTGGAGTGCAGTCATGCTGTCACAGCTCACTGCAGCCTCACCCTCCCTGGGCTCAGGTGGTCCTCCCACTTCAGCCTCCCGAGTAGCTGACTCTACAGGCGTGCACCACCAAGCCCTGCTAATTTTTGTATTTTTAGTAGAGATGGGGTGTCAGCATGTTGGCCATGGCTGGTCTCGAACTCCTGACCTCAAGTGATCCTCCTGTCTTGGCCTCCCAAAGTGCTGGGATTACAGGTGTGAGGCACTGTGCCGGTCCTGCCTTGTAGTCTTATAGGGTCCTTATAAGAGGGAGCAGGAGGCTCAGTCAGAGGGGAGATGGAAGATAGAAGGAGAGGTTGTTGGGTGTGGTGGCTCACGCCTGTAATCGCAGCACTTTGGGAGGCCAAGGCAGGCGGATCACAAGGTCAGGAGTTCGAGACCAGCCTGACCAACGTGGTAAAACTCTGTCTCTACTAAAAATACAAAAGAAATTAGCCAGGTGTGGTGGCATGTGCCTGTAATCCCAGCCACTCAGGAGGCTAAGGCAGGAGAATCGCTTGAACCTGTGAGGCGAAGGTTACAGTGAGCTGAGATTGAGCCACTGCACTCCAGCCTGGGCGACAGAGCGAGACTCTGTCTCAAAAATAAATAAGTAAATAAATAAATAAATAAAGGAGAGGTTCCAGTGAGGATGCAGGTTGAAGATGGAGGCGGGGCCAAGAGTGGAGGAATGTGGCGGTCTGTAGGAGCTGGAAGTGGATTCTTCCCTAGAGCCTCCAGAAGGAACCTGACTCTACCAATACCTTGATTTATTCCAGTGAGACATGTTTTGGACTCTTGACCTGCCGAACTGGAGGAGGATGCACTTATGTGGTTTTAAGCCACTAAGTCTGTGGTAATGCGTACAGCAGCCTTGGGAATCTCGTGCAGCGGGCATTTTAAATTTAAATTTAAATTTTTTTGAGACAGAGTCTCGCTCTGTTGCCCAGGCTGGCACCATTTCGACTCACTGCAACCTCCGCCTTCCAGGTTCAAGCAATTCTCGTGCCTCAGCCCCCTGAGTAGCTGAGATTACAGGTGTGCACCACCACGCCTGTGAAGGGGTGGCCTGCCCCTCCACACCTGTGGGTATTTCTAGTTGGGTGGGACGAGAGACTGAGAAAAGAAATAAGACACAAAGTATAGAGAAACAACAGTGGGCCCAGGGGACCGGCGCTCAGCATACCAAGGACCTGCACCGGCACCGGCCTCTGAGTTCCCTCAGTTTTTACTGATTATTATCTTCATTATTTCAGCAAAAAGGAATGTAGTAGGAGAGCAGGGTGATAATGAGGTCAGCAAAAACCATGTGAGCAAAAGAATCTATGACATAATTAAGTTCAAGGGAAGGTACTATGCCTGGACGTGCACGTAGGCCAGATTGATGTTTCTCTCCACCCAAACATCTCAGCGGAGTAAAGAATAACAAGGCAGCATTGCTGTAAACATGTCTCGCCTCCCGCCATAGGGCGGCTTTTCTCCTGTCTCAGAATTGAACAAATGTACAATCAGGTTTTATACCGAGACATTCAGTTCCCAGGGTCAGGCAGGAGACAGTGGCCTTCCTCTCTCTCAACTGCAAGAGGCTTTCCTCTTTTACCAATCCACCTCAGCACAGACCCTTTACGGGTGTTGGGCTGGGGGACGGTCAGGTCTTTCTCATCCCACGAGGCCATATTTCAGACTATCCCACGGGGAGAAACCTTGGACAATACTCTGTGTTCAAGGGCAGAGGTCCCTGCAGCTTTCTGCAGTGCATCGTGCCCCTGGTTTATTGAGACTAGAGACTGGCGATGACTTTTACCAAGTATACTGCTTGGAAACATTGTGTTAACAAGGCACTTCCTGCACAGCCCTAGATCCCTTAAACCTTGATTTCATACAACACAGGTTTTTGTGAGCTCCAGATTGGGTCAAAGTGGCTGGGTCAAAGCTACAAATTAACAACATCTCAGCAAAGCAATTGTTCAAAGTACAGGTCTTTTTCAAAATGGAGTCTCTTATGTCTTTCCTTTCTATATAGACACAGTAACAGTCTAATCTCTCTTTTCCCTACACATCTGGCTAATTTTTGTATTTTAAGTAGAGACGGGGTCTCGCCATGTTTGCCAGGCTGGACTCGAACTCCTGACCTCAAGTGATCCGCCCCCGCCCCCCCCCACCCCCAAAACTTTGGCCTCCCAAAGTGCTGGGATTACAGGTGCAAGCCCCCTCACCTGGCCGGGAATCTCATGCAGTGAGCATTTATAAAATAATGACTGTCACTTGCTGAAGGCGTTCCACACGCCAGACACTGGGTGGAGCCACTTATGGAGAACATGACAGAGGTCCCTTGGTGTGATGTGATGATGTCTGTGTTTCAGTTGGGGTATGTGAGTGAGCTCAGACAAGGTTGCCTGAGATCATTCAGTCAGGGGCACGTGGGGTGAGAGTGGGCCCACAGGACTGACCGTGCCGCTTCTCACCCTCAGGGACTATGTCACCGGTGGGGCTTGCCCCAGCAAGGCCACCATCCCTGGGAAGACGGTCATCGTGACGGGTGCCAACACAGGCATCGGGAAGCAGACCGCCTTGGAACTGGCCAGGAGAGGTAAAATCTCCCCTGCTTTGGCTCTCAGAGAGATATCTGTACATCCATGCTCACTGCAGCATTATTCACAGTCCGGAGGTGGAAGGAACCCAGGCACCCATCCACAGATGAACAGGGAAACAGAATGTGGCTTCTATAGACAGGGGCATATGATTCAGCCTTAAAAAGGAAGGGCATTCTGGCCGGGCGCGGTGGTGCACGCCTGTAATCAGTACTTTGGGAGGCCAAAGCTGGCGGATCACGAGGTCAGGAGTTCGAGACCAGCCTAACCAACATGGTGAAACCCCCTCTCTACTAAAAATACAAAAATTAGCCAGGAGTTGTGGTGGGCACCTGTAGTCCCAGCTGCTTGGGAGGCTGAAGCAGGAGAATCGCTTGAACCTGAGAGGCAGGGGTTGCAGTGAGCAGAGATGGCGCCACGGCACTCCAGCCTGGGTGACAGAGTGAGACTCAAAAACAAAACAAAACAAAGCAAAACAAAAAAAAGGGCATTGAAACAGATGAACCTTGAGGACATTCCATGAAGTGAAATAAGCCAGTCGACAGAAGAGCAAATACGGTATGATTCCACTTACAGGAGCTACCTACAGTTAAATTCATAGAGAAGTTGGAATGGTGCTTGCCAGGGGTCAGGAGGGGAGGGGAGAATGGGGAGTTACTGTTTAATGGAAACGGAAGTTTAGTTTGGCAAGATGAAACAATTTGAGAGATGGATGGTTGTAATGGTTGCACAACATTAGGAATTATTATTATTGTTTTTTTTTTTTTGAGATGGAGTTTTGCTCTTGTCGCCCAGGCTGGAGTGCAGTGGCATGATCTTGGCTCACTGCAACCTTCGCCTCCCGGGTTCAAGCAATTCTCCTGCCTCAGCCACCCGAGTAGCTGGGATTACAGGCATGCAACACCACACCCAGCTAAGTTTGTAATGTGTTGGCCAGGCTGGTCTTGAACTCCTGACCTCAGGTGATCCACCTGCCTTGGTCTCCCAAAGTGCTGGGATTACAGGTGTGAGCCACCATGCCCGGCCCAGCCATAAATGTTTTTAATACCAATGAACTGGACACTTAAAAATGGCTAAGAGGGCGGGTCTCGGTGGCTCACATCTATAATTCCAGCACTTTTGGAGGCTGAGGCAGGAGGATCACTTGAGGCCAGGGGTTCCAGACCAGCCTGGACACCATAGCAACACCCCCATCTCTACCAGAGTTAGCCAGGCATGCTGGCACAGGTGGTACCTATAGTCCCAGGTCACTTGAGCCTAGGAGTTCAAGGCTGAATGAGCTGTGATGGCGCCAGCACTCCAGCCGCGGCAGCAGAGTGAGACTGACTCAAAAAAAAAAAAATAATAATAAACAAAAAGAAAAGGGGGTTAAGATGATAAATTTTAAGTGATTTGTATTTTACCACAACAAAAAAAATTGGAGGCTGGGCATTGTGGCTTATTTGTAATCCCAGTACTTTGGGAGGCCGCGGGGTGGATCACCTGAGGTCAGAAGTTCAAGACTAGCTTGGCTAACATGGTGAAACCGCTGTCTCTACTAAAAATAAAAAAATAAAAAATTAGCTAGTTGTGGTAGGTGCCTGTAATCCCAGCTACTCGGGAGGCTGAGGCAGGAGAATTGCTTGAACCCAGGAGGTGGAGGTTGCAGTGAGCCGAGATTGCGCCACCGCACTCCAGCCTGGGTGACAGAGTGAGACTCCATCTAAAAAAAAAAAAAAAAGGAGAGGATGGGGAATCCTCTTGCCTTGGCCTCCCAAAGTGCTGGAATTACAGGTGTGAGCCACCGTGCCCGACCAATTCAGTGATGTTTAGTATAGTCACAGAATGATGCAACCATCTTTAAAATCAATCTTAGAACATCTGTTACCCTAGAAAGAAACCTGCTCACTGTAACTATCAAGCTGTAATTCCCTCTCCCCACCCCCTGCCCTAGAAAACCAAGAATCTATTTTCTTTCTCTATGGATTTGCCTATTCTGGGCGTTTCATAGGTGTGAAATCATATACATAGAATTCATGTAAATGGGATTGTACGCTGTGTGGTCTTTCGTGTCTGGTTTCTTTCCCCGAGCACAGTGTTTCTGACGGTCATCCTTGCTGTAGCATGAGCCAGTGCTTCACTCCTTTTCACGGCCGTCTAATATTCCATCTCTATGGATGGACCACATTTTGTTGTCCCTTCATCCACAGATGGGCATTTGGTTGTTTCTACCTTTTGGCTTTTGTGAAGAATGCCGCAGTGAACATTGGTGGATGTGTTTTTGTGTAGACGTATGTTTTCATGTCTCTGGGGTCAGTACCCAGGAGTGGATTATTAATTTAAATCTTTTTCCATCCTGGGTTTTCAGGAGGCAACATCATCCTGGCCTGCCGAGACATGGAGAAGTGTGAGGCGGCAGCAAAGGACATCCGCGGGGAGACCCTCAATCACCATGTCAACGCCCGGCACCTGGACTTGGCTTCCCTCAAGTCTATCCGAGAGTTTGCAGCAAAGATCATTGAAGGTAGGAGAACGCTGGCCATGTGGGATGAGGACTGGGATAGGCGGCTCCCAGGGCCAGGCTCTGAGAAGTGAATGAAGCAAGCAAACTTTAGAGCAGAGTTTTGGCAAACTATGAGTTAGGGGCCAAGTCCAGTTGCTGCCTTTTTTTGTACAGCCTGCAAGCAACGACTTTATTTATTTATTACTACTGTTATTTTGAGAGGGAGTCTCACTCTGTCGGCCAGGCTGAGTGCAATGGCGCGATCTCGGCTCACTGTAACCTCTGCCTCCTGGGTTCAAGCGCGGACCTCAGCCTCCTGAGTAGCTGGGATTAAGATGCCTGCTACCATACCCTGCTAATTTTTGTATTTTTAGTAGAGACGGGGTTTCACCACGTTGGCCAGGCTGGTCTGGAACTCCTGACCTCAGGTGATTCTCCTGCCTCAGCCTCCCAGAGTGCTGGGATTACAGGCGTGGGCCACTGCGCCCGGCTGACTTTGTTTTGTTTGTTTGTTTTGAGACAGATGGGGTCTCGCTCTGTTGCCCAGGCTGGAGTGCAGTGGTGTGATCTTGCCTCACTGCAACCTCCGTCTCCCGATTTCAAATGATTCTCCTGCTTCAGCCTCCTGAGTAGCTGGGATTACAGGCACCCGCCACCGTGCCTGGCTAATTTTTTGTGTTTTAGGTAGAGACAGGGTTTCACCATGTTGGTCAGGCTGGTCTCGAACTCCTGACCTCAGGTGATCTGCTTCCCTTGGCCTCCCAAAGTGCTGGGATTACAGGTGTGAGCCACCGTGCCCTACCTGAATAATTAGTTTGTTTGAGACAGGATCCATCTCTGTCACCCAGGCTAGAGTGCAGTGGTGCAGTCATGGCTCACTGCAGTCTCAACCTGCTGGGCTCAAGGGATCCTCCCACTTCAGCCTCCCAAGTAGCTGGGAGTACAGGCATACGCCACCACACACAGCTAATTATTGTTTTATTGTTTTGTTTTGTTTTTAGAGCTGGGGTTTCACCATGTTGCTCAGGCTGGTCTCCAACTCCTGGGCTCAAGTGATCCACCCAGGTCAGCTTCCCACAGTGCTGGGATTACAGGCGTGAGCCACCGCACCTGACCTTATTAAGCATTTATTGATCAAGTGCCTTCCCCACCATGGTTAAAGAAATATGTGTTTGTTATGGGACATTTATAAAATACTGCAATGTAAAGAAGACAGAACTGGCTGGGCACAGTGGCTCACGCCTGTTAATCCCAGCACTTTGGGAGGCTGAGGCAGGTGGATCCCTTGAGGTCAGGAGTTCGAGACCAGCCTGGCCAACATGGTGAAACCCTGTCTCTACTAAAAATACAAAAATTAGCCAGGCGTGGTGGTGCACACCTGTAATCTCAGCTACTCAGGGTGCTGAGGCAGGAGAATTGCTTGAACCCAGGAGGCGGAGGTTGCAGTGAGCTGAGATTGTGCCAGTGCACTCCAGCCTGGGTGACAGAGTGAGACTCTGTCTCAATAAAAAAGAAGACAGAACTAAACAACTTTGATCTGCACCAGCCCCAGGAGAATCACTTTTATGGATCTTTCTAGTCTTGTTTATAATAGGTTTGTGTGTGTATTTATATATTTTTATGTAAAACTGGGACCATCCTCTAGCTTTTCTATTCTTGTTCATCTTTAAATAGACTCAAGAATACACTAAAATTATTTATTGTTTAGTTGACATGTATACTTGTATATATTATGTACAGCATGATGTACATTGTATACATTGTAGAATGGCTAAATCAAGCTAATTAACATATGCATTACCTCAAATACTTACCTGTTTTTGTGGTGACCACATTTAAAATCTCTTCTCTTAGGATTGCTTGAGCTCAGGAGTTAGAGACCAGCCTAGGAAGCATAGTGAGACCTTGTGTGTACCAAAGATTAAAAAAAAAAAAAAATTAGCCGGGCATCCTGGCATGTGCCTACAGTCCCAGCTACTCAGGAGGCTGAGGCAAGAGGATCACTTGAGCCCGAGAGTTCAAGGCTGCAGTGAGCCGTATTTGTGCCACTGCACTCTAACCTGGATGACAGAGCAAGACCTTTTTTTTGAGATGGAGTCTTGCTCTGTCACCCAGGCTGGAGTGCAATGATGCGATCTTGGCTCACTGCAGCCTCCGCCTCCTGGGTTCAAGCGATTCTCCTGCCTCAGCCTCCCAAGACTATAGGCGGGTGCCACCATGCCCGGCTAATTTTTGTATTTTTAGTAGAGACGGGGTTTCACTATGTTGGCCAGGCTGGTCTCGAATTCCTGACCTTGTGATCCGCCTGCCTCAGCCTCCCAAAGTGCTGGGATTACAGGCATGAGCCACCATGCCCAGCTGCTTTGTTTCTTTTCTAGTCTGGCACTGAAAGGGCCAAAGCTTTCTTCTTCAGAGTCAATGTGCCCCGCTCAGTAAACGGGTACTCAGGAAATGAACAAGGAATGGGGGAGTTGTGGGACCTCATTTATTTAGCAGACGTGATCTCAGACCTGACCAGGTGCTGGAGGTGTGAGATGAACCAGAGCTGTCCTTGTGCCACTCACAGCCCTAGGGAGGCAGGTGCAGGTGCACATTCGTTGGTTCATTCATTCATTCATACTGAGCCCCTGCTGTGCCCTTGGGGATCAAGAAAGAGCCGGCACTGTTGTCGGGTAGGTGAGAGGCACTACGGTGAGATCACAAAGAACAGTGAGAGGGCAATGCCTCAGAGTCTCAGAGGTGGATGAACATTTATTAAGCACCTGCTGTGTACCAGGTACAGCACTGTCACCTTCATGCACACTGTCCCAGGCAATCCCACCCAGGGCGCCTCTGATCCTGTCTCTGGCTTGTGGACACAGGTGTCCGGAGCACTGAGGTCCCTGAGACAGTGAGGACCCCGGCTGGACACACCTGGGCAGGTGATGCCTCCTCTCTTAGCCACACGTTCCTCTTCCGGGAAATGGAATAATTCCTTCTATTTTCTGGGATTCTCTAGAGGGGTTTTTTTTTTTTTCTGAGACGGTATCTTGCTTTGTCGCCCAGGCTGGAGGACAGTGGCACATCTCGGCTCACTCCAAGCTCCGCCTCCCGGGTTCATGCCATTCTCCTGCCTCAGCCTCCCGAGTGGCGGGGGACTACAGGCGCCTGCCACCACGCCCGGCTAATTTTTTATATTTTTTACTAGAGACGGGGTTTCACCGTGTTAGCCAGGATGGTCTCGATCTCCTGACCTCATGATCCAGCCACCTCGGCCTCCCAAAGTGCTGGGATTACAGGCATGAGCCACCACGCCCAGCCTCTCTAGAGGATTAAGTAAAGCTGTGTCTGTGACTTTTTTAGCAAATCAAGTACCAGCTTCTTGGTGTTTTCCTAAGATCAACAGCCAGGAATAAAGACAGCAGTGGATTTAAAAATAGTGAAGATCGTCCATTTTATGTGGTGTGTATTCTACCACACTGGGGCAGGCCAGGTGCAGCGGTTCACGCCTGTCATCCCGGCACTTTGGGAGACAGAAGTTTTGGGAAGATCAGTTTGTGAGATGACACTCTGACAAAGCTGGAAGCTGTGGCTCTTCCCAGCTCCCGACTAGAAAGAACACAAAGCAAAGAGCCCCAGGAAGCAGGTACCCACAGCCTTGTTTATCAGGGAGTTTGAGATCAGCCTGGGCAACATAGCAAGACCTCATCTCTACAAAAAATACAAAACAATCAGGCAGGCGTGCAGGCTCACGCCTGTAATCCCAGCACTTTGGGAGGCTGAGGCGGGCGGATCACAAGGTCAGGAGATCGAGACCATCCTGGCCAACACGGTGAAACCCCGTGTCTACTAAGAAACACAAAAAAATTAGCCGGGCGTGGTGGCGGGCACCTGTAACCCAGCTACTTGGGAGGCTGAGGCAGGAGAATGGCGTGAACCCGGGAGGTGGAGCTTGCAGTGAGCCGAGATGGCGCCACTGCACTCCAGCCTGGGTGACAGAGTGAGACTCCATCTCAAAAAAAAAATAAAAAACAATGAGGCAGGCGTGATGGTGTGCACTTGTAGTCCCAACTACTTGGGAGGTGGAGGTGGGAGGATTGCTTGAGCCTGGGAGGTTGAGGCTGCAGTGAGGGATTTTTTTTTTTTTTTTTTAAGACGGAGTTTTGCTCTTGTTGCCCAGGCTGGTGCAATGACGGGATCTTGGCTCACGGCATCCTCCACCTCCTGGGTTCAAGTGATTCTCCTGCCTCAGCCTCCCGAGTAGCTGGGATTACAGGCATGCGCCACCACGCCCGGCTAATTTTGTATTTTTAGTAGAGACGGGGTTTCTTCCTGTTGGTCAGGCTGCAACCTCCATCTCCTGGTTTCAAATAATTCTCCTGCCTCAGCCTCCTGAGTAGCTGGGATTACAGGCACCTGCCACCATGCCCGGCTACTTTTTTGTTTTAGGTAGAGACAGGGTTTCACCATGTTGGTCAGGCTGGTTGACCTCAGGTGATCTGCCCGCCTCGGCCTCCCAAAGTGCTGGGATTACAGATGTGAGCCACCACGCCCGGCCTGCAGTGAGCTTTGATTGTACCACTGCACTCGGGGTGAGACCCTGTGTCCAAAAAAAAAAAAAAAAAAAAAAAGTTGAGGCAGTTCCCAGATAAACAAAACAACAGGCCAGGCACTGTGGCCCACGCCTGCAATCCCAGCACTTTGGGAGGCCGAGGTGGGCGAATTGCCTAAGCTCAGAAATTCGAGACCAGCCTAAGCAACATAGCCAAACCCCATTTCTACAAAAAATTTTAAAAGTAGCTGCTTGTGGTGTCGGGCGCCTGTGGTTCAGCTATGTGGAAGGCTGAGGTGGGAGGATCGTTTGAGCCCTGGCGGCGGAGGTTGCTGTGAGCTGAGATCGCGCCACTGCACTCCAGCCTGGGCCACTGAGTGAGCTTCCCTCTCATAAAAAGAAAAAAAAAAAAACAGGCTGGGCGCGGTGGCTCACACCTGTAATCCCTGCACTTTGGGAGGCAGAGGCGGGTGGATCACGAGGTGAAGAATTCAAGACCAGCCTGACCAAGATGGTGAAACCCCGTCTCTACTAAAAATGCAAAAATTAGCAGGGTGCGGTGGCGGGCACCTGTAATCCCAGTACTCGGGAGGCTGAGGCAGCAGAATCGCCTGAACCCAGGCGGTAGAGGTTGCAGTGGGCCATGGGCCAAGATCACACCACTGCACTCCAGCCTGGGTGGCAGAGTGAGACTTCATCTCAAAAAAAAAAAGAAAAAAAACCAAAACAAAACACCAGAAGCTGGCGGCACTCCTGGGCGCCCAGCTGTGAGTGGAGTCTCCCTGTCCCGCCTTTGGGCCTTACCCGTGCTGCGCCTGCTGCCTGCATCCCCCTTCCCTGGGTCTCCGCACGTGGGCCCTGCCTCATTTTCCCGGTCCCAGTTTCTGCGTCACCTCCTGAGAGGGGCCTCCTGTCAGCTTCCACGCAGCTCTGTCACGGGTAGATTCTCTCACGAGTGGAAGTGGCTCTCAGCTGCACTGGAATGTCCGGTCCACACGGACGGGGCCTCGGCTGTGCTGTCCACCCTGTATTTCCAGTGCCCAGTAATAGGTGCTTAGAAAATACTTACTGAATGAGTAAGTATACAGTTGTACCAGGCAGGTGATGTTATTATCCTTTTTTTTTTTTTTTTTTTACAAGGAGTAAACTGAGTCACAGAGAAGTGATGTGACTTGGCCAGGATCATGCAGCTGGTCGGGGTGGAGCCAGGCTTTGAACCTGTCTGTCCTGCTCCAGAGCTGGTATTCATGACGGGTGTGCTGCAACCCCCTCCTTCTCACACAGAGAACCAGATGGTGTCTGTGTGTTACGCGCTGGACACCTAATTCACGATCCCCGCCGAAAACCACTTCGGGAGCATTATGAATTCCATTGTGTCCTCCACCCCCAAGGATAGGTTGGGATCCTGAACCCCCATCCCTCAGCATGTGACTTCATTTAGAGGTGGGTGTTTACAGAGGTCCTGAAGTGAAAATGAGGTCATTAGGGTGGGCCCTAATCCAGTGACTGGTGTCCTTATGAAAAGGGGAGATTTGCGCACAGAAACAGACGTGCTAGCTGGGCATGGTGGCGCATGCCTGTGGCCCCAGCTACTTGGGAGGCTGAGCAAGAAGACTGCTTGAGCCTGGGAGGTTGAGGCTGCAGTGAGCAGTGATTGCGCCACTGTACTCCAGCCCAGGTGTCAGAGGGAGACCCTGTCTCAAAGAAATATAAAAAATAGGCCAAGTAGACTGAGTGTGGTGGCTCACGCCTGCAGTCCCAGCACTTTGGGAGGCTGAGGTAGGTGGATCACGAGGTCAGGAGTGTGAGACTAGCCTGGCCAACATGGTGAAGCCCCGTCTCTACTAAAGATACAAAAAATTAACCCGGTGTGGTGGTGGATGCCTGTAGTCCAGCTACTTGGGAGGCTGAGGCAGGAGAATTGTTTGAACCTGGGAGGCAGAGGTTGCAGTGAGCCAAGATCGCACCATTGCACTCCAGCCTGGGTGACAAGAGTGAAACTCCATCTCCCCCCCCCAAAAAAAAAAAAATAGGCTGGGGGCAGTGAAATTGCAGCACTCTGGGAGGCCAAAGCAGGAGGATTGCTTGAGTTCAAGAGTTTGAGACCAGCCTGGGCAACATAGTGAGACCATGTCTGAAAAATCTAAAATTAAAAAAGGAAAAATGAAAAAAAAAAAAGAGACAGCTCCAAAGGGAAGAGGAAGGGAAGAGGGAGAGAGGAGATGGTCACCTGTGAGCCAAGGAGAGAGACCAGAGCGGATCCTCCCTGAGGGCCCTGAGAGGGAACCAGCCCTGCCCACACCTTGATCTGGGACTTCCAGCCTCTGGGACTGTGATTTTTTTTTTTTTTTTTGAGATGGAGTTTTGCTTTTATTGCCCAGGATGGAGTGTAATGATGCGATCTCGGCTCACTGCACCCTCTGCCTCCTGGTTTCAAGCGATTTTCCCGCCTCAGCCTCCTGAGTAGCTGGGATTACAGGTGCATGCCACCACGCCTGGCTAATTTTGTATTTTTAGTAAAGACGCGGTTTCTCCATGTTGGCCAGGCTGGTCTCAAACTCCTGACCTCAGGTGATCTGCCCACCTCGGCCTCCCAAAGTGCTGGGATTACAGGCGTGAGCCACTGTGCCCGGCCAGGTCTGTGAGGTTTTAAACCACCTGTCTGTGGCACTTTGTTACGGAACCCGAGCTGAGTGGTACAGGGAGGAAGGCCCTGTGGTTCAGCGCATTTTACAGCTGAGGAAACTGAGGCTGCAGTCTCCATCTGTGTGTCCTTTGGTTGCTTGTATGAGTGAGGTGGCAGGTTTGGGAATGAAACCACGCCTGCGGTGCCGGGGCTCCCACCGGTAACCTCCCGTTTTTGGCCTCGGGGCTCCGGCAGGAAGGAGTCCCAAGGCTTAGATGGAGGTGCGGAGGGCGTGTGAGTGTCCTGGAGCTGCTGTAACAATGTACTGCAAACCCAGTGGCTTACACCCTCAGACGTGCATTCCCTCACGGTTCCGGAAGCCGGCAGTCTGAATCGCGGTGTCCCTGTGGCTGTGACCTGTGAGACGGGCCATAATCCTCCCAGCCTCTTCCACTTCCAGCGGGGGCGGCCCACCCTCACCTTGGAGCTGTGCCTCTCCGGTCTTTGCCTCTGTCCACACATGGCCTTCTCCCCATGTGTCTCTGTCTCTGTTTTCCCTTCCTATAAGGACACCAGTCATTGGATTAGGGCTCACCCTAATGACCGCATCCTGACATGGCCACTTCGGCACAGACCCTGTTTCCGGCACAGGCCACATTCACAGGTTGTGGGAGCACAGGAGTGTTTCTGCTGGTGCATCAGGCTGGGGTCTGTCCTCACCGGGATGTCTCCTCCTCCACCCCTCTCTTCCAGAGGAGGAGCGAGTGGACATTCTAATCAACAACGCGGGTGTGATGCGGTGCCCCCACTGGACCACCGAGGACGGCTTCGAGATGCAGTTTGGCGTTAACCACCTGGGTGAGGCCTGGGCAGGGGCTGCACCATGGGTTCAAGCGATCCTCCCCCGTCGTCCTCCCAAAGTGCTGGGATTTTAGGTGTGAGTCAAAAGTGACCTTTTCATCATCCTTAATCCAGGTCACTTTCTCTTGACAAACTTGCTGCTGGACAAGCTGAAAGCCTCAGCCCCTTCGCGGATCATCAACCTCTCGTCCCTGGCCCATGTTGCTGGGCACATAGACTTTGACGACTTGAACTGGCAGACGAGGAAGTATAACACCAAAGCCGCCTACTGCCAGAGCAAGCTCGCCATCGTCCTCTTCACCAAGGAGCTGAGCCGGCGGCTGCAAGGTACGGGGGCGCTAGGCTCGGCCTCCCTCTTGCTTTACTCTGAGCCTAGAGCGGCCTTTCCATGATCCTAGGCTGATGGGAGGCCAAACGGTGGATCCAGAACAGAGTCAGCAAAAGTAGAGCATGTGGACCACGCTGCCCGCTTCTGGTGCCTGAAGCAGACATCACTAATCGATCGTTCTTCTGAGGATTGTCTGTTCATCCCAGGTGGTCTAGTCTGCCTGGATCAGATGTCCTTCCCTGCTGCTGTTGGGCAGGCAGCTCAGCCTTTTGGCTCCAGCCAGTGAGTCTCAACCAGGGGCAGTTTTGACCCGCAGTTGTCAATGCCTGGAAACACAGTGATCACAGCTGGCTTGGGGAGAGATTGCTCTGGGCATCTGGAGGGTAAAGGCCCAGATGCTCTCAATGTCCTACAGCGCACGGGATGGCCCCTCACTCCTCCCAACCCACAGCATCCACAGTGCTGAGATTGAGAAATCTGTGCTAGGCCTTTGCTTCTGAAAGACGGTCTGTGGACCAGCGGTGCCAGCCCCACTGGGAGCTGGTCAGAGTTACAGTATCTTAGGTCCCACCGCCACGCACCGATGCAGGCTCCCGGGGTAAGCTCAGCGTTCTGGGTTTATGAAGCCCTCCAGGAAAGCTCGGCTCCCAGCAGCCATGTGGCAGAGCCGCTCCGCAAGATAAGACCACTTCACTAAGATTCCAGAGCAAGAGGGACGATGGGGTTTGAGTGCAGGAAGCAGCCTGGTGCCCGGAAGCCCCACAGCTGGGTGTGGGCTGCCACAGCCTCCCAGGTGAGGCTGGACCCCTCCCTCAGTCTTCTCTTTCTTTCTTCCCCAGGCTCTGGTGTGACTGTCAACGCCCTGCACCCCGGCGTGGCCAGGACAGAGCTGGGCAGACACACGGGCATCCATGGCTCCACCTTCTCCAGCACCACACTCGGTGAGTCCCCTCCCAGCCTGGGGTCTCCACGTGGAGCCCTCCACCCCTGCTTTCTCAGCCCAGGGCCCAGGACCCTCCCTCAGAGACCGTCCCTGAGGCCTCATGCCTGCTCCTCGCCTACGTCTTCTGAGGCACAGAGCACAGGTCCCTTTCCTCCGTTGACCTGGCCTGCCAGCCTCTAACAGCCCCGGGAAGCAGGCAGAGCCCTGCTGGCGGATGAGAAAACCGTGTCTCAGAGGAAGAGGCCGTGGAGCTGACGCCTGGAGTCAGGCTGTACTCAGGGTAACTCCAGCTTCACCCCAAACCAGCTGCACCTCCTGGGGAAGAGCTGTTACCCCTCTGAGCCTGTTTCTTCATCTGCAGAGTGCAGGCCTTAATAGGACTCACCTCACAGTCACTGGGGGGGTTATACGAGACCTTCCTTGAAAGGGCCAGCACAGGACCCCGCCCAGAGAATAGGTGGAACAAACAGTTGGAGCTTTACTTACTTATTTTTGAGATGAAGTCTTGCTCTGTCGCCCAGGCTGGAGTACAATGGCATGATCTCCACTCACTGCAACTTCCACCTCCCAGGTTCAAGCGATTCTCCTGTCTCCAAGTAGCTGGGATTACAGGTGCACACCACCACACCCAGCTAGAGGTGGGGTTTCACCATATTGGTCAGGCTAGTCTCAAACTCCTGACCTCAGGTGATCCAACTGCCTCCCAAAGTGCTGGGATTACAGGTGTGAGCCACCACCCCCAGGCAGTTCATGCTTTATGACTAGTGTTTATAATCCTGAAAAACATGGAGTGGGTGATTGGTTGGCATCAAGAATCTTAACTTGGCGAGGCTAATAGCCACGCCTGTAATCCCAGCACTTTGGGAGGCTGTGGTGGGCGGATTACCTCAGGTCAGGAGTTCGAGACCAGCCTGGCCACCATGGTGAAACCCCGTCTCTACTAAAAATACAAAAATTAGCCAGGTGTGGTGGTGTGCACCTGTAGTCCCAGCTACTCAGGAGGCTGAGGCAGGAGAATCGCTTGAACCCGGGAGGCAGAGGTTGCAGTGAGCTGAGATCACACCACTGCACTCCAGCCTGGGTGACAGAGCAAGACACCAGGTCTCAATAAATAAATAAATAAATGTCTTTTTTTTTTTGAGACGGAGTTTTGCTCGTCACCCAGGCTGGAGTGCAGTGGCACAATCTTGGCTCACTCCAACCTCTGCCTCCTCGGTTCAAGTGATTCTCCTGTCTCAGCCTCCCAAAGTAGCTGAGATTGCAGGCGCCCACCACCACACCCAGCTAAGTTTTTATTTTTAGTTGAGACAGGGTTTCACACGTTGGCCAGGCTGGTCTTGAACTCCTGACCTCAGGTGATCCACCTGCCTCAGCCTCCCAAAGTGCTGGGATTACAGGCGTGAGTCACCACGCCCAGCCCTTTTTTTTTTTTTTTTTTGAGACGAAGTCTTGCTATTGTCACCCAGGCTGGAGTGCAATGGTGTGATCTTAGCTCACTGCAACCTCCGCCTCCCAGGTTCAAGGGATTCTCCTGCCCCAGCCTCCCGAGCAGCTGGGATTACAGGCACCCGCCACCACACCCAGTTAATTTTTGTATTTTTAGTAGAAATGGGGTTTCACCATGTTGGCCAGGCTGGTCTGGAACTCCCGACCCCAGGTAATCCGCCCGCCTCGGCCTCCCAAAGTGCTGGGATTACAGGCCTGAGCCACCTCGCCTGGCCAAAAAAAGATCCTTAACCTGAGGCTGGTGCCAGGTGCATTTAATAAGATGTTATTAAAGGAGAAATGGGGTAGGGTGAGGACTGGGGCTGACCAAGAGGAAGAGAGCTTCCATTTTCCTGGACAAAGCCAGGAAGGCTCCTTGGGGGAGGCAGCTTTTGGTCTGATCCCTGGTCTGGTGGGATTTGCCTGGGCAGTGCCAGGGAAGGGAACTGCAGATGGAGGCAGCCAAGGGGAAAGGGCTAGAGGAGGGCTCTGTGGGACTCCAGGGACCCGGAGCTCCCTGACCGGGGAGCGGGGCTTCCTTCCTTCTCTCTGAGCGAGTGTGGACTAAATGCCCTGTGGGCTGATTGCAGGGCCCATCTTCTGGCTGCTGGTCAAGAGCCCCGAGCTGGCCGCCCAGCCCAGCACATACCTGGCCGTGGCGGAGGAACTGGCGGATGTTTCCGGAAAGTACTTCGATGGACTCAAACAGAAGGCCCCGGCCCCCGAGGCTGAGGATGAGGAGGTGGCCCGGAGGCTTTGGGCTGAAAGTGCCCGCCTGGTGGGCTTAGAGGCTCCCTCTGTGAGGGAGCAGCCCCTCCCCAGATAACCTCTGGAGCAGATTTGAAAGCCAGGATGGCGCCTCCAGACCGAGGACAGCTGTCCGCCATGCCCGCAGCTTCCTGGCACTACCTGAGCCGGGAGACCCAGGACTGGCGGCCGCCATGCCCGCAGTAGGTTCTAGGGGGCGGTGCTGGCCGCAGTGGACTGGCCTGCAGGTGAGCACTGCCCTGGGCTCTGGCTGGTTCCGTCTGCTCTGCTGCCAGCAGGGGAGAGGGGCCATCTGATGCTTCCCCTGGGAATCTAAACTGGGAATGGCCGAGGAGGAAGGGGCTCCGTGCACTTGCAGGCCACGTCAGGAGAGCCAGCGGTGCCTGTCGGGGAGGGTTCCAAGGTGCTCCGTGAAGAGCATGGGCAAGTTGTCTGACACTTGGTGGATTCTTGGGTCCCTGTGGGACCTTGTGCATGCATGGTCCTCTCTGAGCCTTGGTTTCTTCAGCAGTGAGATGCTCAGAATAACTGCTGTCTCCCATGATGGTGTGGTACAGCGAGCTGTTGTCTGGCTATGGCATGGCTGTGCCGGGGGTGTTTGCTGAGGGCTTCCTGTGCCAGAGCCCAGCCAGAGAGCAGGTGCAGGTGTCATCCTGAGTTCAGGCTCTGCACGGCATGGAGTGGGAACCCCACCAGCTGCTGCTACAGGACCTGGGATTGCCTGGGACTCCCACCTTCCTATCAATTCTCATGGTAGTCCAAACTGCAGACTCTCAAACTTGCTCATTTAAAAGAAAAAAAAAAGAAGAAAATGTACCCGAGTCGTAGATTTTATTTTTCCTCTGTGCATGGGTGAATGCCCATGAGCTGAACAAAGGCAACTCATGGCTTTATTCCTTTTAGGAAACAAGGCATCAGTTTATCACCAGGGCAACAGGCCATGCAAAAGTTCAGACTTGGCCGGGCGCGGTGGATCACGAGGTCAGGAGATCGAGACCATCCTGGCTAACACAATGAAACCCTGTTTCTACTAAAAAAATACAAAAAATTAGCTGGGCATGGTGGTGGGCGCCTGTAGTCCCAGCTACTCGGGAGGCTGAGGCAGGAGAATGGTGTGAAGCTGGGAGGCGGAGATTGCAGTGAGCCGAGATCATGCCACTGCCCTCCAGCCTGGGTGACAGAGCAAGATTCCGTCTCAAAAAAAAAAAAAAGTTCCGACTTTTTAGAGATGAAAGCCCCTTTCACCTGTTTCACAGGAAATAACCGTTTAAGTCCGGGCATCTTACAAGACTGCTGTGTTAGAAACTGGATAGAGATCAGGGTGAGATGAAGGGGCTCTTAGCTTAGGTGCAGAACCGAAGGAGGCACCGAAAAGCTCAGTAATCGAGATAGAAAACATGTTTTCATATTTGAGATACTGGGGAGGCCAGGGATGCTACTCAATATCCCACAGTACACAGAACAGCCACCTAGTCTCGCTCTGTTGCCCAGGCTGGAGTGCAATGGCATGATCTCAGCTCACTGCAACCTGTGTCTCCCATGTTCAAGCGATTCTCATGCCTCAGCCTCCCGAGTAGCTGGGATTACAGGCGCCCACCACCACACCTGGCTAATTAAAGACGGTATCACCATGTTGGCCAGGCTTATCTTGAACTCCTGACCTCAGGTGATCCACCCGTCTTGGCCTCCCAAAGTGCTGGGATTATAGGTGTGAGCCAGTGCACCCAGCCCTTTTTGCTTTTTTAGAGACGAGGTCTTACTGTGTTGCCAAGGCTGGAGTGCAGTGCCGTCACAGCTCACTACAACCTCGACCTGTGATTCTCCTGCCTCAGCCTCCTGAGTATCTGGGACTACAGGTGCATGCCACCACACTTGGCTAATTATTTGTAGAGGTGGCAACATAACATTTGCTATGTTGCCCAGGCTGGTCTCAAACTCCTGGGCTCAAGTGACCCTTCCGCCATGGCCTCCCAAATTGTTGGGATTACAGGCATGAGCCACCGTACCTGGCCTTAGTTTTCTTTCCGATGCCACACCAAATGGCTAGAGGGTGTGTTTGGGATGACCTGAGTCTGGTAGGCAACTTCCAGTGGACCCCACGGTGCGACCACCTCCCTTTGAGTGTGGGGGAGATGTAGCGACTGGCTTCTAGCAGTAGGATAGGGCAGAAGTGACAGTAGGTTAGTCTTGTGGTTAGGTTACAAAACTGACCTCTGTGATGGTAGCGTCCCTCGTCAGCCCTCTTGTCTTGCCCTCTCGCTGGCTGGTGGTGATGGAGCCGGCTGCCATGGTGAGCGGCCCTGTGGAGAAGCCAGGGAGGAATGGAGACAATCTGGAGAAACAGAATCACACCAACAACCACGTGCGTGAGCTTGCTGTGTGCTCTTGCTTGGGAGCAAGTTACAGGTTCAGCCCAAGAGGAGCGGACCACTCCAGGGTGTAAATACCAGGAGGGGGAATTGGAAGACTACCCTAAGCATGCCGACCGGAGACTGTGTGTGTGTAGTAGGTATTTCTTACTGGGAGATCACGGAAAAGCAAGTTTGAGAAACACTCCCATCAGATGGGTGGGCCGAGGATAACCTCAAAGCCTTTGGTTCTCCGAATAGGTGCGTAGGACTCACCCAGGCACTCTTTCCTTTTTTAAATTGTGGTAAAAACTACATAACAGTGGCCAGGCGTGATGGTGCACGCCTGTAATCCCAGCTATTAGGGAGGCTGAGGCAGAAGAACTGCTTGAACCAAGGGGGCACCGCTCCTGGCTGTAACATGTTTTCAATATCCCCCCTCTTCGGTGGCACAGGGGCTGGCCCCATATACATGTGCGATGGCAACTGACAGGGTCCCTGATAAACCGGAGTGCTCCAGAAACACCCCATTGCGTGGGACGGAGGATGTTAGGTGGCCCTCCTAGCGTTTGAGTTTGATAAATGAGCAAAGGAAGTGGTTTTTACTAGAAAGCCAGCTTTCCTTTTTTTTTTTTTTTTTTTTCCAGCCAGCAAACCCCAAACAGGAACCTATGGTTGGTGATGGATGTGCGTTCAGAAAGCAGGGAGGGAGGGGGAGTCAGAGGTGAGGGGGTCATCAGCCATAGCTGTCCGCTGCATCACCCCCTCGCTATCTCCAGGAAGCGTTCTGGGCTTTTCCTGTTGTGCAGTGTGGAAGTGCTCTATCTTCATTCATATCAAGGAAAGTCAAAGGACAAACTAAAGCCGGCAGCGTCTTTCTGGCTTCCTAGTCAGGCTGTTCGGTAGCGGAGTGTCACCCTGATTTCCAGCCCCGCAGCACACACAGTGAGAGCCTGCCTGGCGTGATTCAGAGGCAACGTATTTCCCAAGGTGGCTGTGAAGGAACCAGGGGGATAAACACAGCCCGTGAACCGCACGCCAGAGGACAGGTCCGGCTGCCTGCCGCGGAGTCGTCACGGCGTGTCGCGTCTGAGCGCTTCTCCAAAGCACCCAAGTGGCACCCGGGGTGACAGTTACATCATCTTGAGTACAGTTCTCTCAAGGAAAAAGCAAGCCCAGCATCTTCTGCCATGGCAACCCTGGCTTGGAGCCTCCATAAGAGAGAAGGCCCTAAGAATAATACCATTTTCTTGCTCTAAGTTGCTCTTACGGGAAAGAAGTGATAATATTCTTCCTAAACGCCATCATTCGTGCATCCTTCCCACCTATATGTGTCACCGGATCATTCTCCGCCTGGGCGGGGCCGTCCTGTGCACTGCAGAATGCTGAGCAGTGTCCTTGGCTTCGACCGACCACATGCCAGGAGCACCCCAATTTCTGCCATCGGGTGATTGACTTCACTGTTGCATTTGATTTTTTATGTATCTTTTAAAAGGACCCAATAGGGCCAGGCACAGTGGCTCACACTTGTAATCCCAGCACTTTGGGAGGCTGAGGTCGGTGGATTGCTTGAGCCCAGGAGGAGTTCAAGACCAGCCTGGGCAACATAGTGAAACCCCAACTCTACAAAAAACAAATGTTTTATTTTTATTTATTTTAGATGGAGTTTCACTCTTGTTGCCCAGGCTGGAGTGCAGTGGCGCAATCTCGGCTCACTGCAACTTCTGCCTCCCGGGTTCAAGCGATTCTCCTGCCTCAGCCTCCTGAGTATCTGGGATTACAGGCATGCGCCACCACACCCAGCTAATTTTGTATTTTTAGTAGAGATGGCGTTTCTCCATGTTGGTCAGGCTGGTCTCAAACTCCCGACCTCAGGTGATCTGCCTGCCTCGGCCTCCCAGAGTGTTGGGATTACAGGCGTGAGCCACCACGCCCAGCCGGGTTTATAGTTTTATAACCCTTATGACAAATCTCATAGTATTCTGCAGGGATAAGCATGAAACCACTCGTTCAATAAGTGCAAACAAAAACGCCAACAATTCTTAAGACATTTCTAATCTTATTTTACCAATAATTTTAAAGCCAGCTTATGTATTAAAGATTTATAACTACTTTTATTAACACGTTTAAAATTCTATGCAGCTTAAAGCATTTATAATGGATAAAACTGCCAATACTGAGTGCCTGACATAATATTTGAAAGGTGGCAGGCATTCAACCATGGTCACTGAATGAGAGATGTAGGGAAGATGATGGCAGGGAGGTTTTTAGATATCAACACCCTGATAGTTCTCATTTTAACCACCTGTAAGTGCACATACAAGTCAACGGCACTGGCCGGGCGCGGTGGCTCATGCCTGTATTCCCAGCACTTTGGGAGGCCAAATCACAAGGTCAGGAGATCGAGACCATCCTGGCTAACACGGTGAAACCCCGTCTCTACTAAAAATACAAAAAATCAACTAGGCATGGTGGCACGCACCTGTAGTCCCAGCTACTCAGGAGGCTGAGGCAGGAGAATCGCTTGAACCTGGGAGGCGGAGGTTGCGGTGAGCCAAGATCGCGCCACTGCACTCCAGCCTCGGCGACAGAGTGAGACTCCGTCTCAAAAAACCAAAAAACAAAAAACAGTCAATGGCATTAAATATAAATACATTTACAGTGTTGTGTAACCATCACCACTATGGATCCCCCAGACTTTGTCATCATCTTCAACCTAAGCGCTCCCTATTAAATAGTAACTCCCCACTTTTCCCAGGCCTTGGCAACCACCATTCTAATCCCTGTCTCTATGAATTTGACTCCTCTCGATACCTCAGATAAGCGGCACAATGCAGTATTTATCTGTCAAGTCCGGAATATTTCCTTTAGCATAATGTCTTCAAGGTCCATCACGTTGTAGCATGTATCTGAATTTATTCTTTTATAATATTTTTTATTTTTTGGAGACAGAATCTCGCTCTGTCACCCAGGCTGGAGTGCAATGGCGCGATCTCGGCTCACCGCAACTTCCGCGTCCCGGGTTCAAGCCATTCTCCTGTCTCAGCCTCCGGAGTAGCTGGGACTACAGGTGCCTGCCGCCATGCCCGGCTATTTTTTTTTTGTATTTTTTGGGGGTTTTACTGTGTTGCCCAGGCTGGTCTTGAACTGCTGAGCTCAGGCAATCTGCCTGCCTCAGCCTCCTAAAGTACTAGGATTACAGGCATGGGCCACCACGCCCGGCCTTATTTTTATTTTTGAGACAGTCTCACTCTGCCGCCCAGGCTGGAGTGCAGTGGTGCGATCTCGGCTTACCGCAATCTCTGCCTCCCAGGTTCAAGCGATTCTCATGCCTCCGTCTCCCAAGTAGCTGGGATTACAGGCACCTGCCACCATGCCCGGCTAATTTAACGCCCAGCTAATTTTTGTATTTTTAGTAGAGATGGGGTTTCACCATGTTAACCAGGCTGGTCTCGGACTCCTGACCTCAGGTGATCCGCCCGCCTCGGCCTCCCAAAGTGCTGGGATTACAGGCGTGAGCCACTGTGCCTGGCTGATTTTTATTCTTTTAGTTAAGGCTGGTTGATATTACCTTGTGTGTATATACCACATGTTGTTTATCCATTGTTGTTGATGGACATGTGGGTGGTTTCACCTTTTGGCTATTGTGAATAAAGCTGCTATGAACACTGTGTACAAATATGTTAGAGACCCTGTTTTCAGTTCTTTTAGGTGTGTACCCCGAAGTGGAATTGCTGGATTTTATGGCAATCCCACGTTTAACTTCTGGAGGAGCTGCTGGAACTGTTTTCCACAGCAGGGGCGCCATGTTACGTCCCTGCCAGCAATGCACGCGCAGTTCAATTTCTCTGCATACTCACCAATATCTGCTGTTTTCCATTAAAAAAAATTATAGCCGGTCGGGTGCAGTGGCTCATGCCTGTAATCCCAGCACTTTGGGAGACCGAGGCAGGTGGATCAACTGAGGTCAGGAGTTCAAGACCAGCCTGGCCAACACAGTGAAACCCCATCTCTACTAAAAATACAAAAATTAGCCTGGTGTGGTACATACCTATAATCCCAGCCACTTGGGAGGCTGAGGCAGGAGAATCGCTTGAACCTGGGAGGTGGAGGTTGTAGTGGGCCGAGATGGCGCCACTGCACTCCAACCTGGGCAAAAAGAACGAGACTTTGTCTCAAAAGAAAAAAAAAAAATACAGCCATTCCAGAAGGTGTGAAGTCATATCTCACTGTGGTTTTGATGCGTATTTTCCTAGTGACATCAGGGAGTTTATGGGAGCACGGGAACACAGACCAGGCCCCAGCAGGCGGACAAACGGTGCAACGCCAGGCTGGCCAGAGGAGATAAGCGCGGCTCCTTGGAGCTTGTGTGCAAGTCACTGTACTGAGGAGCCGGCTACGGCTCGATGAGTCTCAATTAGGAAAGGCCGGGGCTGGTGGAGGAAGGGAGGAGAGCATTCTTCATCCTCATCACATCCTGAGCCTGTGCCCCAGGCTCCCACCACTTCCCTCCCTGGCCACAGAGCTCAGGACAGGGCTGAGGAACCATGTCTCCATCCCCGACCGCCCTCTTCTGTCTTGGTGAGTCCTGAGGGTCAGATCTGGGAAATGCTGAAGGACAGGCATGGACTGCCAGACAAAGGATTTTTAAGAAATTTGCATTGGTGATGAATTTCAGGACAAAAAGGAACCTGTAAGAGCCCCTTCATTTGTTGGGTGGGGAAACGGGGGGCCAGCGAGCTGGCATTTTGCATGAGTTATTCCAGTGTATTCATGGCTGGGTCAGGAAATGAACAGAGTATCCTAGCATTGGTCACAACTTTGTTCTACTACACTGCAGTTGCCCCTTTTTTAAAAAATGTGGGCCAGGCACAGTGGCTCACGCCTGTAATCTCAACCTTGGGAGGCCGAGGTGGGTGGATCACCTGAGGTCAGGAGTTCAAGACCAGCCTGGTCAACATGGTGAAACCCCATCTCTACAAAAATTAGCCGGGCGTGATGGCGGGTGCTTGTAATCCCAGCTACGTGGGAGGCTGAGGTGGGAGAATTGCTTGAAACTGGGAGGCAGAAGTTGCAGTGAGCTGAGGTCAGGCATTGCACTCCAGCCTGGGCAACAGAGAGAGCCTCCATCTCAAAAAAAAAAAAAAAAAAAAAAAAAAAGGCTGAGTGCCATGGCTTACACACTTTGGGAGGCCGAGGCGGGTGGGCCATCTGAGGTCGGGAGTTTGAGACCAGCCTGACCAACATGGAGAAACCCCATCTCTACTAAAAATACAAAATTAGCCGGGTGTGGTGGCACATGCCTGTAATCCCAGCTACTCTGGAGGCTAAGGCAGGAGAATCGCTTGAACCTGGGAGGTGGAGGTTGCGGTGAGCCAAGATCACACCATTGCACTCTGGCCTGGGCAACAAGAGCGAAACTCCGTCTCAAAAAAAAAAAAAAAAAAATTGTGGAATTGATATCTGGACTAGGTATGGATTTAATTTGTCAGTATCCCCTACAGTAGTGGAGTAAATAGTCTCCTGATGGATGGGTGGCAGGTCGAATGCATTTCTGCTGCCTGATCTTCACTTGTGCTGGGCATGTCGAATGCATTATTTCCTGATTTCTTCAGAATTTGACCACTAAAGGGACAGCATCTCCAAAAGGCTAAGCAGGAAGAAGATGGTTGCATTACTGGAGATGAGAGGGTTAACTGTGAATATAAACAACCTCTCATTCATTATCCATCCATGGATGTATTCTTTTTTTCTTTTTGTTTGTTTTTTGAGATGGAGTCTCGCTCAGTCGGTCGCTCAGGCTGGAATGCAATGGCATGATCTCAGCTCACTGCAAACTCTGCCTCCCGGGTCCAAGTGATTCTCCTGCCTCAGCCTCCCGAATAGTTGGGATTACAGGCATCTGCCACCAGGTCTGGCTAATTATTGTATTTTTAGTAGGGGCGGGGTTTCACCATGTTGGCCAGGCTGGTCTCAAGCTCCTTACTTCAGGTTCCACCCGCCTCGGCCTCCCAAAGTGCTGGGATTACAGGCGTGAGCCACCGCACCCAGCCTGTTTTAACTTTTATTTATTTAATTTTATTTGAGATAGGGCCTCACTTCTGTCACCCAGGCAGGAGGGCAGTGGCATGATCATGGCTCACTGCAGCCTCAACCTCCCAGGCTCAACCAGTGCCTCCCCATCAGCCTCCTGAGTATCTGGAACTACAGTTGTACACCATCATGCCTGGCTTGTTTTTGTAATTTTTTTAGTTACGGGGGTCCGCTATGTTGCCCAGGCTGGTCTTGAACTCCTGGGCTCAAGCGATCCACCCACCTCGGCCTCCCAAAGTGTTGGGGTTACAGGTGTGGCCTGTACAGGTTACTGCATCTGGCTTGTTGCTTCAGTAGCTTTTGGGATACAAGTGGTTCTTGGTTACATGGATGAATTATATTCTGGTGAATTCTGAGATTTTAGTGCACCTGTCACCTGACTAGTGTACCTTGTACCTAATGTGTAGTTTTTCATCCCTGCCCCACTTCTGCCCTTCCCTTCTGAGTCTCTGAAGTCCATTACATCACTCTGCATGCCTTTGCATACCCACAGCTTAGCTCTCACTTATAAGTGAGAATATACAGATTTTTGTTTTCCACTCCTGTATTACTTTACTTAGAATAATGCCTTCCAGCTCCATCCAAGTTGCTGCAAAAGACTTTTTTTTTTTTTTTTTAAAGACGGAATCTCGCTCTCTCACCAAGGCTGGAGTGCAGTGGTGTGATCTCGGCTTACTGCAAACTCCACCTCCCGGGTTTAAGTGATTCTCCTGCCTCAGCCTCCCGAGTAGCTGGGACTACAGGCACCCGCCACCATGCCCGGCTAATTTTTGTATTTTTAGTAGAGATGGGGTTTCACCATGTTGGGCAGGATGGTCTTGATCTCTTGACCTCGTGATCCACCCACCTCGGCCTCCCAGAGTGCTGGCATTACAGATGTGAGCCACTGTGCCTGGCCAAAAGACATTATTTCACTCCTTTTAATGGCTGAGTAGTATTCCACGCTCATTTATTTTTATTTATTTTTATTTTTTGACATGGAGTCTCACTCTGTTGCCCAGACTGGAGCGCAGTGGCATGACGTTGGCTCACTGCAACCTCCACCTCCCAGGTTCAAGCGATTCTCCTGCCTCAGCCTCCCAAGTAGCTGGGATTACAGGCTCCTGCCACTACGCCCCGCTAATTTTTGTATTTTTAGTAGAGACAGGGTTTCACCATGTTGGTCAGGCTGCTCTCGAACTCCTGACTTCAGGTGATCCGCCCACCTTGGCCTCCCAAAATGGGATTACAGGTGTGAGCCAGCGCGCCCGGCCGGTGAGAACATTTAAAATCTACTATCGGTGATATGCAAGTGTACAATATGTTGTTATTAACTACAGTCACCATGATGTGCAGTAGATCTCCAAGACATACTCCTCTTGTCCAACTGAAACTGTCCTCCTCTGACCAACATCTCCCCAAACCTTACCCCACCGCCCCGGTAACCACCACTGTGCTCTCTACTCCTGTAAGTTCCCAAGTCCACACTCTTTACCACTAATTGGTGCTGCTAGGGTTTGAATCTACTCCTGCCAGCTGTAGGACTGTGGATAAGATACTGTCTCACTAGCCTGATGTATAAGAGGGGACTGATAATGGTGGGTAACCCGTACGATTATGGCGACTTGGAGTCCATGCACAGAAGGCGCTCAGCACGGCGCCTGGAAGACTCCCAGCCATGGTACAGCGTCGCATGGAAACCTACAAAGAGGCTGAGGTGGGCTGTGATGCGGCAGGAGGAGGGGGACAGAGAAGCGGCCGGAGCTTGCGTTGGGGTGCAGAGGGAGCCTGGGGTGGACAAAGGGTGGTGGCTATGGGGGCGCTGGTGACAAGTTGTCACTCTCTGAGCTCAGAGTCAAGACATGAGCTGGGTTCACCCACTTCTTGCTATGTGAGCTACACAAGGTTGCTTGGCCTCTGCCCAGTTTCCTTATGTTTACAGTGGGAATGACAACTATCCCGCCTTTGTGTGTGTGTGTGTGTGTGTGTGTGTGTAAGAATGAGGGTTACCAGATAAAACACTGGATGCCTGGTTAAATTGGAATTTCAGATAATTAGTACTTTTTTTTTCCTCCTCCTCTTCGTTTTCTGAGACAGGGTCTTGCTCTGTTGTCAGTCTGGAGTGCAATGGGGCAATATCATTTTTTTTTTTCCTCGAGATGGAGTCTTGCTCTGTTGCCCAGGCTGGAGTGTAGTGGCGTGATCTTGGCTCACTGCAACCTCCGCCTCCCGGGTTCAAGTGATTCTCCTGACTCAGCCTCCCCAGTAGCTAGGATTACAGGCACGTGCCACCATGCCCAGCTAATTTCTGGTATTTTTAGTAGAGATGGTGTTTCACCATGTTGACCAGGCTGGTCTTGAACTCCTGACCTTGTGATCCGCCCACCCTGGCCTCCCAAAGTGCTGGGATTATAGGCATGAGCCACCGTGCCCGGCCAGTGGTGCAATCTTACCTCACAGCAGACTTGACCTCCTGGGCTCAAGCAATTCCAGGAGGGGATCGCTTATGTACATGTATTTGTATACATATGTATACACACACACACACACACACACACACATGCATACATATATACATATACATACATATACACGTGTGTATGTACACACGTGTATATGTACATACACATGTATGTATAGATGTAGGTTTACATATATGCACTATATGTGTATATACATATAGTAATCAGATCAGGGTAAGTAGCACACCCATCTTCTCAAACATGCATCCTTTCTGTGTTGGGAACTTTCCCCATCCTCCTTCAGGCTATTTGAAACGATTATTATATATATTATATCCTATCATGTAATCATGGAATACTGATTCAAGCAAATGTTGTAAATACCGGGAAACCCATGGCCAGCACATGCTGAGACGTCCTGACTTACACGCTGAGGCTCCATCCTGCTCCATCCTTGGAGCCCAATGCATCCCATTAGTGTGGGGTTTTATCGCATATATTACATAGACAATAAAATACAATAATATACAATATGCAATAGTATTTACAATACTTGTCTATACAATTGCATACTATTGTAATGTACTTGGATATTATTTAATATTGGGAGACTGAAGGGAGGAAACGAAGGGACAGCAATGTCTCAGGTCCCATTCCTCACATCCACTGAGGAAGTCAATGGGCAATGTCTAACACGAACGAGCCCACCGTGTCTAACACAACACAAACGAGCCCACCGTGTCTAACACAACACGAACGAGCCCACCGTGTCTAACACAACACGAACGAGCCCACCGCGTCTAACACGAACGAGCCCACCGCGTCTAACACGAACGAGCCCACCGTGTCTAACACAACACGAACGAGTCCACCGTGTCTAACACAACACGAACGAGCCCACCGTGTCTAACACAACACGAACGAGTCCACCGTGTCTAACACAACACGAACGAGTCCACCGTGTCTAACACGAACGAGTCCACCGTGTCTAACACGAACGAGTCCACCGTGTCTAACACGAACGAGTCCACCGTGTCTAACACAACACGAAGGAGTCCACCGCGTCTAACACGAACGAACCCACCGCGTCTAACACGAACGAACCCACCGTGTCTAACACGAACGAACCCACCGTGTCTAACACGAACGAGTCCACCGTGTCTAACACAACACGAACGAGTCCACCGTGTCTAACACAACACGAACGAGTCCACCGTGTCTAACACGAACGAGTCCACCGCGTCTAACACGAACGAGTCCACCGTGTCTAACACAACACGAACGAGTCCACCGTGTCTAACACGAACGAGCCCACCGTGTCTAACACGAACGAGCCCACCGTGTCTAACACGAACGAGTCCACCGTGTCTAACACGAACGAGCCCACCGTGTCTAACACGAACAAGTCCACAGAGAGCAGTACGCCACCATGCCTTGCCCTCCTCTCCCACCACCCCCAGCCATGGATCTGCTTTCTTCTCCATCTCCTATAGATTTACCTATTCTGGATATTTCATGTAAATGACCTCATAAACTATGTGGCTTTTTCTGACCGGTTTCTCTCACTTAAATTACATTCCTGTGTGTCTTTTGAAGAAATTATTAGGACAGAGTAAAGCATATGCATGCAAATGTCTTATCACCGCGCCCAGCAGGCAGGAATGTCCATAAAAGCGAGTCCTGGCATCTGGTCCCTTTCTTCTTTCCTCAGGGCTGTGTCTGGGGCGTGTGCCAGCGCAGAGTGGTGAGTCCTTCCCCAGACCCCTTCCCTCCTGCGGGATCCGCCAGCGCGGGAGCAGCGGGGTCCAGGCGGGGTCTGCGGGGAGGCTGACCCAGCCCTGCTCCTCTTCCAGGACCGCTCCCCAAGCCCTCCCTCCAGGCTCTGCCCAGCTCCCTGGTGCCCCTGGAGAAGCCAGTGACCCTCCGGTGCCAGGGACCTCCGGGCGTGGACCTGTACCGCCTGGAGAAGCTGAGTTCCAGCAGGTACCAGGATCAGGCAGTCCTCTTCATCCCGGCCATGAAGAGAAGTCTGGCTGGACGCTACCGCTGCTCCTACCAGAACGGAAGCCTCTGGTCCCTGCCCAGCGACCAGCTGGAGCTCGTTGCCACGGGTAAAGGAAGGGGGATCGGAGCCTGGGACTGCGTGGTCCTCCGTTCAGGACACAAATACGGGGGACATTGAGGGCAGGGATTAGGGTGAGGCAAACGAGGCACTGGCCTAGCGGGTGGTGGTGCCACGACATTTATGGATCAATGTGAATAATATTTTGTTTTTTGGACACAGGGTCTTGCTGCGTCACCCAGGGTGGAGAGCAGTGGCGCGATCTTGGCTCACTGCAGCCTCCACCTCCAGGGCTCAAGCGATTCTCCCGCCTCAGCCCTCCAAGTAGCTAGGATTACAGGTGTGCACCACCACGCCCAGCTCATTTTTTATGTTTTTATAGAGATGGGGTCTCTTGACAGTTTTCACAAAAGGCATTAAAATACAAAAGAGAGAGAGATAGGGTCTCGCTATGTTGCTCAGGCTGGTCTCGAACTCCTGTGGGCTCAAGCTATCCTTCCACCTTGGCTTCCCAAAGTGTTGGGATTTCAGGCGTGAGCCACTGCATCTGGCTGTGAATAACATTTTCATGCAATTTTTAAAAAAATCAAAATAAATTGCAAAAACATCCACAATGAAAAAAACCAGAATTTCAAATAAAGGCAGAATCAGCCAGTGCCTGTGTCAAGTCATACCAGAGTCTGTGCCAAAACGAAAAACAGGCAACCCTTTATCTGTGTTTTAATGCACTTAAAAAAATTAGCGATGGGGTCTTGCTACACTGCCCAGGCCGGAGTGCAGTGGCTGTTCATAGGAGCAGTCATAGCTCACTGCAGCCTGGAGCTCCTTGCCTTGAGCAATCCTCCTGCCTCAGCCTCATGAGTAGCAGGGACTACGGTCACGGGCCACCGTGCTTGGCTCGGGATTCTTTTTAAAACTTTGTTTTGGAGTAATTTTTAGACTGACAGAAAAGTTCCAAAGATAATATTAATGGAAATATTTCACCCAGGATCCCCTCATGTTAACATCTTACATTTGTTACAACCAAAAAATAAACGTAGCACTGGTCCCAGTGGTTTACACCTGTAATCCCAGCACTTTGGGAGGCTGAGGCGGGAGGATTGCTTGAGCTCAGGAGTTCAAGACCAGCCTGGGCAACATAGTGAGACCTCATCTTTAAACAAAATTAAAAATTAGTGGGGCATGGTGGCATACACCTATAGTCCCAGCTACTCAGGAGGCTGAGGCAGGAGGATCGCTTGAGCCAGGGAGGCCGAGGCTGCAGGGAGCTGTGATCACGCCACTGCACTCCAGCCTGGGTGACAGAGTGAGACCCTGTATCAAAAAACAAACAAAAAACTAACCATAGACACAACTATATTATATCAAGTAAACTCCAGGCTATTTGAATTTCACCAGTCTTTCCACTAATATCCTATTTCTGTTCCCAGACCCCGTCCAGGGCCCCACAGTGCATTTAGTATTTATGTCTCCTTAGACTCTTGATTGGTGCAAATATTCTAATTTCTTTTCTTATTTATTTATTTTTTTTAAGAGAAGAGGTTGGGCCGGGCGCGGCGGCTCACGCCTGTAATCCCAGTACTTTGGGAGGCTGAGGTGGGTGGATCACTTAAGGTCAGGAGTTTGAGACCAGCCTGGCCAACATGGTGAAACCCCGTCTCTACTAAAAAAAATAATAATAATTAGCTGGGCGCGGTGGCGCACTCCTGTAATCCCAGCTACTCCGGAGGCTGAGGCAGGAGAATCGCTTAAACCTGGGAGGCGGTGAGCCGAGATTGCACCACTGCAGTCCAGCCTGGGCGACAGAGCAAGACTCCGTCTTGGGAAAAAAAAAAAAAGAGAAGAGGTCTTACTATGTTGCCCAGGCTTTAGTACACTCGCTGTATTCACAGGCATGATCATAGCTCACTTTAGCCTCAAATCCCTGGGCTCAAGTGGTCCTCCCTAGTAGCTGGGACTATAGGTGCACCCAGTTAGTGCACTTTTAAATGGTTATTTTCTAGAAGTAGGTTTTGGAAATAGCACTGATGCGCTTGCATCCACAAAAGCCTAGAATGTAAAATTCTAATAAATCTTTCAGGGGAATAAAGTATTCAAACAGAATAATGTGAGTTTTAACGACCTACTCTTCAAATTTTCAATAATTTTTTCAAATATGTTAATTGTTTGGGAATAATTAAATTTTACATCCCAGGAGAGTGCCTCACTCACGCCACCCTAATTCCTGGCCAGCTGCACTGTGGTCTATTCCGCGTTATAAATCCTGCCTCCCTCCCCTCTTCCCTGCCTCACTCCCCTCCACAGCATCACTGGCCTCCTCTCTGCTACTAGAATGGACCAGCCTGGCTGCCTCATTACTTCTTTCAGGGTCAGACTCAAATACTCTCTTCTCGCTAAGTATATCCCCCACCACCCTAGTCAAAGTGGCCCTCCTCACTATCTGGTATGTGAAGTATACCTTTTTTTATCTTGGTGGTGGTTGTCTATTTTTAATTCCTGGTCGGGCACGGTGGCTCACGCCTGTAATGCCAGCACTTTGGGAGGCCGAGGTGGACGGATCACCTGAGGTCAGGAGTTCGAGATCAGCCTGGCTAACATGGTGAAACCCTGTCTCTACTAAACATACAAAATTAACTGGGCATGGTGGTGCATGCCTGTAGTCCCAGCTACTCGGGAGGCTGAGGCAGGAGAATCGCTTGAACCCAGGAGGTGGAGGTTGCAGTGAGCTGGGATCATGCCACTGCACTCCAGCCTGGGCAACAGAGTGAGATTCTGTTTCCCAAAAAAAAAAAAAAAAAAAAAAAAAAAAAAAATATATATATATATATATATATATATATATATATATATATATATATATATATATATATATGCCATTGCACTCCAGCCTGGGTGACAGAGCGAGACTCCGTCTCAAAACAAAACAAAACAAAACAAAACAAATGAAACAACAAAAAAAGAATACAGACAGACACATAATAGTTGCTTAAGTGAAAATTAAGAGAAAATATTGCTGAGTGAATGTTACAGTTATCAGGCAGCTTATATATTTCCTTCCTTCCTTCCTCCCTCCCTCCCTTCCTTCCTCTTTCTTTCTTTTTCTTCTTGTTGAGTGAATGCCATAATTATTAGGCAGCTTATATTTTTATCTTCCTTACTTCCTTTCTTTTGCTTTCTCTCTCTGTCTTTTTTTGAGACAAGGTCTCACTCTGTCACCCAGGCTAGTGTACAGTGATCATAGCTCACTGCAGCCTCGCCTTCCTGGGCTCAAGCGATCCTCCCACCTTGGCCTCCCAAAGTGCTGGGATGACCGGTGTGAGCCGCCGCACCCAGCCTCAACCTTTGTTTTTCTGACTCCTGTGTGCAGGCATGCATCACCACACCGGTCTATGACAACAACCTCACATCAGAGTAGTGTAGGTTCGTGTTTAGGAGCGGAGACCCTGGAATCAAACTCTGTGAGTGCAGATTTCAACTCTGCCACTTATGATCTTGGACAAGTTTTTTATTTATTTTTAAATTAAAATATGTCCAGCTTTGTTGAGGTATAATTGAAAAACAAAAATGGAATATATCCAAGGTGTACAAGTTGATGTTTTGATATACGAATCCACTGTGAGACAGTTACTACTAGCAAGCTAATTAACATACATCACCTGACACAGTTAACTTTTTTGTGTGTGAGAATACTTATAATCTACCCTCTTAGCAAATTTCAGCTGTACACTGCAGTATTGTTACCTAGAGTTGGACAAATTATTTAATGCCATGTGCCTTAGTTTCATTTATAAAATAGGGACATTAAGAGTGAGGACTCCATAGGTCTCTGAGGATTCACTGAACTGATATACATCATAAGTTTGGAAGGCACCCGGAAGCTAGCACTGTCAGCCACATTTACAACGTAACAATTGTATGTGGCAATACAAGCTTACAGCACAGTATAAGCTTAAGCTATTTACTTACTCCAGCGCTTGCTAGGCAACAGGCACTCTGCAAATTACTGTGTACTGTCTCATTCAGTCATCCCCATTTTAACAGAACAAGGCAGTGAGGCTCAGATACAGAGGGAGATTTGTCTCCAGGGCCACCAGGCCCCTGAAGGCAGAACTAGGATTTGCACCCAAGCACTAGGACGTGAGCACAGCCTCCTTCCTCAACCACTGGGTGACTCGACCTCTCTGTGAGCTTGGGTGGGGGAGTGCGCTCTCTGGGAGGGATACAGCCAAAAAGCTCCCCAGCTCTTAGGCAGGTGTGGGGACCTCCCCAGTCTCAGCTGAGATGCTGGCTCCTGCCTTCAACATCAGACTTTCTTTTTCTCCCAGGAGTTTTTGCCAAACCCTCGCTCTCAGCCCAGCCCGGCCCGGCGGTGTCGTCAGGAGGGGACGTAACCCTACAGTGTCAGACTCGGTATGGCTTTGACCAATTTGCTCTGTACAAGGAAGGGGACCCTGCGCCCTACAAGAATCCCGAGAGATGGTACAGGGCTAGTTTTCCCATCATCACGGTGACCGCCGCCCACAGCGGAACCTACCGATGCTACAGCTTCTCCAGCAGGGACCCATACCTGTGGTCAGCCCCCAGCGACCCCCTGGAGCTTGTGGTCACAGGTAGGGGTAGTGCAGACCAAACCTTTCTTCCTCAGCCTTTATAGGTCCTGATGGCCATTCCAAGGGAGGGGCCATAAGTGGGAAGGAAGTGGGAGGGCAGGAAGCCCTGGGCTGCAGGGGCGGGGCCGTAGGTGGGAAGGAAGTGGGAGGGCAGGAAGCCCTGGGCTGCAGGGGCGGGGCCGTAGGTGGGAAGGAAGTGGGAGGGCAGGAAGCCCTGGGCTGTAGGGGCGCGGCCATAGGTGGGAAAGAAGTGGGAGGGCAGGAAGCCCTGGGCTGCAGGGGCGGCGCCAGAGGTGGGAAGGAAGTGGGAGGGCAGGAAGCCCTGGGCTGCAGGGGCGGGGCCGTAGGTGGGAAGGAAGTGGGAGGGCAGGAAGCCCTGGGCTGCAGGGGCGGGGCCGTAGGTGGGAAGGAAGTGGGAGGGCAGGAAGCCCTGGGCTGCAGGGGCGGGGCCGTAGGTGGGAAGGAAGTGGGAGGGCAGGAAGCCCTGGGCTGCAGGGGCGGGGCCGTAGGTGGGAAGGAAGTGGGAGGGCAGGAAGCCCTGGGCTGCAGGGGCGGGGCCGTAGGTGGGAAGGAAGTGGGAGGGCAGGAAGCCCTGGGCTGCAGGGGCGGGGCCAGAGGTGGGAAGGAAGTGGGAGGGCAGGAAGCCCTGGGCTACAGGCAGCTGGGAGAATGGAGGTTTCTTTTTTTTTTTTTTGACGAAGTCTCACTCTGTCACCCAGGCTGGAGTGCAGTGGCGCGATCTCAGCTCACTGCAACCTCCGCCTTCCGGGTTCAAGCGATTCTGCTGCCTCAGCCTCTCGAGTAGCTGGAATTACAGGTGCCTGCCACCATGCCCGGCCAATTTTTGTATTTTTAGTAGAGACGGGGTTTCACTATGTTGGTCAGGCTGGTCTTGAACTGACCTCATGATCTGCCCGCCTCGGCCTCCCAAAGTGCTGGGATTACAGGCGTGAGCCACCGCGTCGGACTTGACTACCATTCTTAAAGGGGGTTTCTTTCAAAAAAGAGCAGCATACCTCATAATGTGGTTATATACATGCAATGGAATATTATGCAGCCTTAAAAAAGAAGGAAATTCTGACACATACTACAACATGGATATACCTTGAGGACATTATGCTAAGTCAGTCACAAAAGGACAACTACTGTATGATTCTAGTCAAAGGAGGTATCTAATGTCAACACTGTAGAAACACAAAGTACAATGGTGGTTGTTAAGGGCCAGAAAGAGGAGAGAGAAGGAATTAGTGTTTAATGGGCACAGAATTTCAGTTTTGCAAGAAAAATAAGTTCTAGAGGTCAACATATTGTACCACAATGTGAACATACCCAACGCCACTGATCAGTACATTTAACAATGTCATATTAAATCAAACAAAATACATCATTTAGTTTTTGGTAGAAAAATCTGTTTTGCCCCCAGGGTCACAGTGAGGGGTAGGACACAGGAATCCAGAAGAAATAGAACTGAGGTTGAAAAAGGTGGACGGGAGCTGCATGCATTTCCTTGTTAATAGCCCAGAATGTGCCAGGTGTGCTTTACAAATGCTGCTGCTTTTTTTTTTTTTTTTTTTTTTGGGGGGAGTCTCACTTTGTCACCCAGGCTGGAGTGCAGTGGAGTGATCTCAGTTCACTGCAACCTCCACCTCCTGGGTTTAAGCGATTCTCCTGCCTCAGCCTCCTGAGTAGATGGGATTACAGGCACCTGCCATCATGCCCAGCTAATTTTTGTATTTTTCGTAGAGACAGGGTTTCACCATGTTGGCCAGGCTGGTCTTGAACTCTTGACCTCAGGTGATCTGCCTGCCTCGGCCTCTCAAAGTGCTGGGATTACAGGTGTGAGCCACCACGCCTGGCTAAGCCTTTTTTTTTCAGATGGAGTCTTACTGCGTCACCCAGGCTGGAGTGCAGTGGTGCGATCTCAGATCACTGCAACCTCTGCCTCCTAGGTTCAAGTGATTCTCCTGCCTCAGCCTCCCGAGCAGCTGGGATTACAGGTGCACACCACCACGCCTGGCTAATTTTTGTATTTTTAGTGGAGACGGGGTTTCACCATACTGGCCAGGCTGGGCTTGAACTCCTGACCTCAAGTGATCTGCCCTCCTCAGCCTCCCAAAGTGCTGGGATTACAGGCATGAGGCACTGCACCCAGCTCAAATGCTTATTAACATCCACAACAGTCCAGTGATGTAAGCTACTTTAGGCTCATTTTTCCGGTGAGGAAACTCAGTCACGGAGATGTTTCGTTATTTGTTCAGGACCCACAGCGACAGAGCACAGATTTATCTCATTTTCTGATTTCCCAGGAACCTCTGTGACCCCCAGCCGGTTACCAACAGAACCACCTTCCCCGGTAGCAGGTAGGTTCTGCAGGGTCCATTCTGGTGCACAGCGTATGAGGTACACGGACCCCTTCTCTCTCTCCTCTCTGCCTAGACTTCTCGATTTAATTCAGTTGGTTCTTTCACAGATTTGCTTTGTTTTAAAAATCCTTTATTTCTGCCTGTAAACAGGGTGGGTGTCCTAAGTAGTTAGATGTTAAGATGCTGCCCCCAATCCTACTCTAGGTGGATGGTTTATCACATATAACATGCAGAAGAATAATCGGAGTGGCTTGCTATACTGTGGAGTCCAGCTGGTTGAATATGGGTGACAAAAACAAACAAACTAACCAACCAACCAACCAACCAACCAACCAACAAACCTGTAGAGTCCGGGACTCTGTTTCTGAGTCACTGAATGCATTGATCAGCGGTTCTCAAACTTCCATGAGCATAAGAATCACCTGGAGGCTTAAAGAATAGATTTCTGAGCCCCCAGGGCTTCTGCTTCAGTAGGTCTGGGGTGAATCCAGTCATTTTCATTCCTAGTAAGTTCCCAGGTGATGCTGATGCTATGGCTCCAGAATGCTGCTTTGAGAACCACTGCGGTAAGTTTTGTGTGAGGCGTGTTATCCCCTCCACTTTCACAAACATCTCAGCTGAATACGGTGTACCAGACTACGGCCTGCACTTTAAGAATATCATACGCTAGGCTGGAGGCTGGGCGTGTCTAACATTCCCTGTGTCTCAGAGTGAAGCACCAAGGCAGGAGAAACATGCTGGAAAGAGCCGAGGTTGATAAGGATGAGATTTGCGGGGTTGAGGGCAGAGTGAGGGCTATTATGCCTAGTGGGCAGGGACATGGAAGATGGTCACATACTGTGTGCGTGCATATGTGTGTGTGCGTGCATGTGCGTGTGTGCGTGCATATGTGTGTGTGCGTGCATATGTGTGTGCATGCGTGCATATGTGTGTGTGTGCATGCGTGCATATGTGTGCGTGTGCTTCTGACTGAATTTTTGAACTTTCTCTTTTGAAATGGTTCTAGAGTCACAGGAAGTCTACAATGATAGAACAGAAGAATCCCATGTGCTCTTTTTCCAGTTTCCTCTAATGGTTACATCTTACGTAATTAGAGTACAACATAAAAACCAGGAATTTGACATTGGCATAAAGTAGGTGTCTAGTTCTATGCCAATTTGTCACAGTTGTAGATTCGCGTCACCATCACCGCAGTCACTGTACAGAACTCTTCCGTCTCACAAGGGCCTCCCTTGGGCTACCCTTTTATATTCACACCTACACCCTTCTCCTTCCCTTGCCATCCCTAACTCCTGGTATCCATTAATTTGTTCTCCATCTCTATAATCTTCCATTTCTAGAATCTGATGTAAATGGGATCATCCAGTATGCAACCGTTTGAGATATCCTTTTGTCACTCAGTGCAATGCCCCTGAGGCCCATCCAAGCTGCTGTATGTATCAATGATGTGTTCCTTTTGATTGCTGAGCAATATTTCATGCTATATTAGGCCGATTTTGTGCTGCTATAAATATCTGAGACTGGATCATTGATAAGAAAAGAGGTTTAATTGGTTCATGGTTCTGAAGGCCGTATAGGAAGCAGAAGGCTGGCTTCTGCTTTTGGGGAGGCCTCAGGAAGCTTACAGTCATGGCAGAAGGCAAAGAGGGGGTAGCTGTCTCATGTGGTGGGAGCAGGAGCAAGAGAGAGAGAGAGTTGGGACTGGGGGACATGCCACACTTTGCAATAGCCAGATCTTGTGAGAATTCACTTACTATTGCAAGGAAAGCACCAAGCAATGAGGGATCCACCCCTATGATCCAAACACCTCCCACCAGGCCCCCACCTCCAACATTGGGGATCATAATCCAGTATGAGATTTGGTGGGAACACATATTCAAACTGTATCACATGGCATGCAAATACCACACGCTGTGTTGAAATCAAAATCAAAACAAGGTGTATTAAATAGGGAATCCTTTCCCCATTGCTTGTTTTTGTCAGGTTTGTTGAAGATCAGATGGTTGTAGATGTGTGGTCTTATTTCTGAGATCTCTATTCTGTTCCATTGGTCTATGTGTCTGTTTTTGTACCAGTACCATGCTGTTTTGGTTACTATCACCTTGTAATATAGTCTGAAGTCTGAGCCTGAGGCCTCCAGCTTTGTTCTTTTTGCTTAGTATTGTCTTGGCTATATGGGCCCTTTTTTGGTTCCATATGAATTTTATAGTTTTTTCTAATTGTGTGAGGAATGTCAATGATAGTTCAATGGGAATAGCAATGAATCTATAAATTACTTTGGGCAGTATGGCCATTTTCACGATATTGATTCATCCTATCCATGAGCATGGAATGTTTTTCCATTTGTTTGTGTCCGCTCTGATTTTCTTGAGCAGTGAATTGTAGTTCTCCTTGAAGATGTCCTTCACTTTCCTTGTTAGCTGTATTCCTAGGTATTTTATTCTCTTTGTAGCAATTGTGAATGGGAGTTCCTTCATGATTTGGCTCTCTGCCTGTCTATTGTTGGTGTATAGGAATGCTTGTGATTTTTGCACATTGATTTTGTATCCTGAGACTTTGCTGAAGTTGCTTATCAGCTTAAGAAACTTTTGGGCTGAGATGATGGGGTTTTCTAGATATAGGATCATGTCATCTGCAAACAGAGATAGTTTGATTTCCTCTCTTCCTATTTGAGTATCCTTTATTTCTTTCTCTTGCCTGATTATCCTGGCCAGAACTTCCAATACTATGTTGAATAGGAGTGGTGAAAGAGGGCATCCTTGTCTTGTGCTGGTTTTCAAGGGAAATGCCCATTTAGTATGAAATTGGCTGTGGGTTAATAAATGGTGCTGGGAGAATTGGCTAGCCATATGCAGAAAATAGAAACTGGACCCGTTCCTTACACCTTGTACAAAAATTAACTCAAGATGGATGAAAGACTTGGATGCAAAACCCGAAAACTATAAAAACCCTAGAAGAAAATCTAGGTAATACCATTCAGGACACAGGCATGGGCAAAGATTTCATGACAAAAACGTCAAAAGCAATTGTAACAAAAGCAAAAACTGACAAATGGGATCTAACTAAACTAAAGAGCTTCTGCTCAGCAAAAGAAAGTATCATCAGAGTGAACAGACAACCTACAGAATGGGAGAAAATGTTTGCAATCTATCAATTCACAAAAGTCTAATATCCAGAATCTACAAGGAAGTTAAACAAATTTACAAGAAAAAAAAAACCATTAAAAAGTGGGTAAAGGACATGAACAGTCACTTCTCAAAAGAAGACGTTTATGCAGCCAGTAAACATACAAAAAAAAGCTCAACATCACCAATCATTAGAGAAATGCAAATCAAAACCACATTTAGACACCATCTCACACCAGTCAAAATGGCGATTATTAAAAAGTCAAGAAACGCCGGGCACGGTGGCTCACGCCGGTAATCCCAGCACTTTGGGAGGCCGAGGCAGGCAGATCACAAGGTCAGGAGATCGAGACCATCCTGGCTAACACGGTGAAACCCCGTCTCTATTAAAAATACAAAAAATTAGCCGGGCGTGGTGGCGGGCGCCTGTAGTCCCAGCTATTCGGGAGGCTGAGGCAGGAGAATGGCGTGAACCCGGGAGGCGGAGGTTGCAGTGAGCCAAGATTGTGCCACTGCACTCCAGCCTGGGCGACAGAGCAAGACTCCATCTCAAAAAAAAAAAAAAAAAACCAACAAAAGTCAAGAAACAACAGGTGCTGGCGAGGCTGTGGAGAAATAGGAATGCTTTTACACTGTTGGGAATGTAAATTAGTTCATTGTGGAAGACAGTGTGGTGATTCCTCAAAGACCCAGAACCAGAAATCCTTTTTCCTTTTTTTTTTTTTTGAGATGTAGTATTGCTCAATAGCCCATGCTGGAGTGCAGTGGTGCGATCTCGGCTCACTGCAACCTCCACCTCCCAGGTTCAAGCAATTATCCTGTCTCAGCCTCCTAAGTAACTGGGACTACAGGCGCCTGCCACCATGCCTGGCTTTTTTTTTTTTTTTTCTTTTAGTAGAGATGGGGTTTTACCTTGTTGGTCATGCTGGTCTCAAACTTCTGACCTCAGGTGATCCACCTGCCTCGGCCTCCCAAAGTGCTGGGATTACAGGCGTGAGCCACCGCACCAGGGCCACCTTTTTTTTTTTTTTTTTTTTTTAAACAGAGTCTCACTCTGTCACCCAGGCTGGATTGCAGGGGCATGATCTCGGCTCACTGCAGCCTCTGCCTCCAGGGTTCAAGTGATTCTCCTGCCTCAGCCTCCCGAGTAGCTGGGACTGCAGGTGCATGCCACAACGCCTGGCTAATTTTTGGATTTTTGCTAGAGACGGGAGTTTCACCATGTTGGCCAGGGTGGTCTTGAGCTCCTGACCTCAGGTGATCTGCCCACCTCGGCCTCCCAAAGTGCTGGGATTACATGTGTGAGCCACTGCGCCTGGCCAGAAATACCATTTGACCCAGCAATCCCATTACTGGTTATATACCCAAAGGAATATAAATCATTGTATTATAAAGATACATGCACACATATGTTCATTGCAGCACTATTCACAATAGCAAAGACAAGGAATCAACCCAAATGCCCATCAATGATAGAAAGGATAAAGCAAATACAGTACATATACACCATGGAATACTATGCAGCCATAAAAAGGAATGAGATCATGTCCTTTGCAGGGACATGGATGGAGCTGGAAAACATTATCCTCAGCAAACTAACACAGGAACTGAAAACCAAACACTGCATGTTCTCACTTGTAAGTGGCAGCTGAACAATGAGATCACATGGACACAGGGAGGGGAACACCACACACTGGGGCCTGTAGGGGGAATTGGGGGAGGGAGAGGATCAGGATAAATAGCTGATGCGTGTGGGGCTTAATACCTAGGTGATGGGTTGATGGGTGCAGCAAACCACCATGGCACACGTTTACCTATGTAACAAACCTGCACGTCCTGCACATGGATTCTGGAACTGAAATTTTAATTGAAAAAAAAAAAAAAGGTTTATTAATGCATCTCACACGAAGAGAAATAACAAAGACCAAATAATACCCACACTCTCATTATGCCACCGAGAGCTGAGCATAAACTAGTTTTTTCCAAGCTGGTTCCACCATAAAAAGACTCCCAGGATAGTACCCACTGCAACAAGAGCTTCGTATTTATCAGCTGAGGCAGTTCAGGAATATTTTGGTGGCCTCAGGAGGCCCCTGGTTAAGAAAATGGCCTGGCCGGGCGCGGTGGCTCACGCCTGTATTCCCAGCACTTTGGGAGGCTGAGGCGGGTGGATCACAAGGTCAGGAGATCGAGACCATCCTGGCTAACACGGTGAAACCCCATCTCTACTGAAAATACAAAAAAATTAGCCAGGCGTGGTGGCGGGTGCCTGTAGTCCCAGCTACTCGGGAGGCTGAGGCAGGATAATGGTGTGAACCCGGGAGGCAGAGCTTGCAGTGAGCCGAGATTGCACCACTGCACTCCAGCCTGGACGACAGAGTAAGACTCTGTCTCAAAAAAAAAAAAAAAAAGAAAAAAAGAAAATGGCCTAAGTTGGAAGGTGGAGATCCCGTGTTCTGAGGCTAACACGAGCTCATTCTTCCTCTAGGCTCACGAAGACATGGATCCACATCTTATTATTCAAACTGAGATATAATTCACATACCATAAAATTCACCATGCCAACTAGGATGACTATGATTTTTAAAACAAAACAAACGGACAAGAAGTATTGGTGAGGATTTGGAAGAACCTTCTTATATTGCTGGTGGGAATATAAAATGGTGCAGCTGCTTTGAAAAACAGTCTGTGGCCAGGCGCAGCCTGTAATCCCAGCACTTTGAGAGGCCAAGGAGGGTGGATCACGAGGTCAGGAGATCGAGACCATCCTGGCCAACATGGTGAAACCCCGCCTCTACTAAAGTACAAAAAAAAAAGTTGGCCAGGCGTGATGGCAGGTGCCTGTAATCCCAGCTACTCGGGAGGCTGAGGGAGGAGAATCGCTTGAACCCAGGAGGTGGAGGTTGCAGTGAGCTGAGATCGCGCCACTGCACTCCAGCCTGGGCAACAGAATGAGACTCTGTCTCAAAAAAAAAAAAAAAAGAAAAAAAAGAAAGAAGTCTGGTAGTTCTTCAAAAAGTAAAACACAGAGTTACTGTATGACCCAGTGATTCCACCACCCCTGGGTGTGTACCCAAGAGAACAGAAAACTTATGTTCACACAAAAACCTGTACGTCAATGTTCACAGCAGCAATATTCATAACAGCAAAACGTGGAAAAAAAACCAAGTGTCTATCAATTGCTGAACGGATCTGCTTCTTACTAAGCCGGTCATGGAAGATAAGTCTTACACCTTTCGAATTTGTCTGTCTTCAGTGTCTGTGCAGTGTGTCAGAGAAAGGGGTTTCAGGGAGCCTAGATATCTCAAAAGGGGAATGGAGATATCTAGAGGATATAGGGAACCACGGGGAAGACCTAACATTGTTTTGCTTTCTTAGAATTCTCAGAAGCCACCGCTGAACTGACCGTCTCATTCACAAACGAAGTCTTCACAACTGGTGAGTAACCAGGCATTTCATGCTCAGCAGAAAGGAGTGTGAGGACGGAGCTCTCTCTTCCATTATCTAAGCCTGTAGGCTTTTAATCACTTCACCGAACTGTCCGTCTCTTACCAAGAAAGTCCTTGGTGTGAGGCTAGAGCATGGGTGCAGAGTGGAGCTCTGGGGTTCAGAAGGAGGAGCGTTTTGGGTGATGGGGCCATTTCAAAGATGGCGGAGCCAAGGCTGTGGCGGGACGACCGCCATCCCTACGCACTGCTCCCAGGATGAAGTCCTAGGCTTTGGACTCGGCTGTGATCCAGGTATTTAATCTCGCTCCTCACTGTGTCCAGGTAGAGCCCATGCTCGGACGCACACAGACTGTAGGCACCTGGACACAGCACATCTTCTAACCGCTCCAGGCCTCTGCAGATACGCTTTCCTCAGTCTCTTTCCCCTTGCCTGTCCTGGAAAATCTCCATTTCCTTCCAGACTAAACACCTTCACAGATTCCCTGATAATAGGTTAGATACTTCCACTGGGCCCACATGACTCTGGCTTTCATGAGGCACCTGATCCCACGTAGTTCTATTTTTTATTTTTTTGAGGTGGAGTCTTGCTCTGTCGCCCAGGCTGGAGTGCAGTGGTGCGATCTCGGCTCACTGTAACCTCTGCTGCCCGGGTTCAAGCGATTCTCCTGCCTCAGCCTCCCGAGTAGCTGGGATTATAGGTGCATGCCACCACACCTGGCTAATTTTTGTATTTTAGTAGAGACGGGGTTTCAGCATCTTGGGAAGGCTGGTCTTGAACTCCTGACCTCATGATCCACCTGTCTCGGCCTCCCAAAGTGCTGGGATTGGAGGCATGAGCCACCGCGCCCGGCATATCCCAGGGAGTTCTGTGATGGAAGCCTTCCCTATCTTCAGTTCGGAACCTCCCAATCACCCTCAGGATGCAGTTCCAATTCCTCAGCTTGCTATTCTGTGAGCTTAGATATCCAGCCCCTGTTGATCCCTCCAATTTTGTCTGCATACCTTCCACGCATTCCCATGCTGTTCTCAGCCACACACAGTCACTTGAAGCTCTCCTGGAGGCTTCCTAACCTCTCCTGACTCTGCACCCAACCCACTCACTCTGCCTTTTCTTCCATTTCCCCATGGCATCAATTCCTCAAGAAAGCCTTGACCGTCCAGGCTGGATCGATGGTTTCCTCTGCTCTCGCTCAGTGTCTTGTGGGCTGCCTATTACAGCAATTTTTACAGTATATTAAAATTATCGCTTTGTCTGTAATCCCAGCACTTTGGGAGGCCAAGGTGAGTGGATCACCTGAGGTCAGGAGACCAGCCTGGCCAACATGCTGAAACCCCGTCTCTACTGAAAATACAAAAATTAGCCGGGCGTGGTGGTGGGCACCTGTAATTCCAGCTACTTGGGAGGCTGAGGCAGGAGAATCGCTTGAACTCACGAGTTGGAGGTTGCAGTGACCTGAGATCACACCACAGCACTCCAGCCTGGGCAACAGAGTGAGACTCCGTATTAAAAAAAAAAAAAAATCGCTTTACTTTTTGGTCTCCTGCAATAGTCTGGGAACCGCAGATGGACAATGTCTTATGGTTTTTTTGTTTTTTGTTGTTGTTTTTGAGACGGAGTCTCACTCTGCTCACTCTGTGATCTGTGATTTCGGCTCACTCTGCGATCTCAGCTCACTGCAATCTCCGGCTCCTGAGTAGCTGGGACTACAGGTGTGTGCCACCATGCCCAGCTATTTTTTGTATTTTTAGTAAAGACGGGGTTTCACCATGTTGGCCAGGATGGTCTCGATCTCTTGACCTCAGGTGATCCGCCCACCTTGGCCTCCCAAAGTGCTGGGATTACAGGCATTCAGCCAGTGTCATGCCTGGCCTGACAATGTCTTATTAATATTTGGGTTCCCATGGCCCAGCACATGGCTGAGTACCTGGCGAGTCTCAGGAGATACTTGAGGAATAAGAGAGCTGGAGGCCGGGTGCAGTGGCTCACGCCTGTAATCCCAGCACTTTGGGAGGCCTAGGCGGGCGGATCACAAGGTCAGGAGTTCAAAACCAACCTGGCCAATATGGTGAAATCCCATCTCTACTAAAAATACAAAACTTAGCTGGGCGTGGTGGCGGACGCCTGTAGTCCCAGCTACTCGGGAGGCTGAGGCAGGAGAATCGCTTGAGCCCAGGAGGCGGAGGTTGAAGTGAGCCGACATCGGGCCACTGCACTCCAGCCTGGGAGACAGAGCCAGACTCTGTCTCAAAAAAAAAAAAAAAAAAGCTGGCACGTATGAGGTGCTCATATGTCAAGCACGGTGCTTTATATTTCTACCATTATTATTATCTTGACTTTCACATCAACCTATAAGGGATCTTGTTAATTTTATTGGACACATGGGGAACTGGCTCACAGATGCTGAGTCACTTGCCAGATAACTGACATCTAATAGGTGATAGAGTTGGGGTTCAAATCTGGAGGACAGCCTGACTCTACAGTTCTTGCTTTTTTTTTTTTGGACAGGGTCTCGCTCTGTTTCCCAGGCTAGAGTGCAGTGGTACAATCCTGGCTCACTGCAGCCTCAACCTCCCAGGGCTCAGGTGATCTTCCTGCCTCAGCCTCCACTGAGTAGCTGGGATTACTGGCACGTGCCACCACGCCTGGCTAATTTTTGTATTTTTTTGTAGAGATAGGGTTTTTCTATGTTGCTCAGGTTGGTCTTGAACTCCTGGACTCAAGCCAGCCTCCTACCTCAGCCTCCCAAAGTGCTGGGATTATAGGCATGAGGCACCGTGCCCGGCCCATGCTTTTCTTAAATGCTGTGGAATTGTGCCTCCCCATGTGTGTGTGTGTTCGGAGTAGGCACAGTGACAGGGGGCGGGAATATGGTTTCATTTCACACTTAGCCTTTGTTTGGTTCCCAGAGACTTCTAGGAGTATCACCGCCAGTCCAAAGGAGTCAGACTCTCCAGCTGGTGAGTAAGTCATCCTCTCCAGACCCCCTTCCTTCTCACCCGTCTCTTCACCAAAGCCAACTCCTTTGTCTACGCAGGGGCTGCAGCTCTCAGATCTTGGGTTCCAGTGTGTAGAGTAAAGGCAGAATATCAGCGTATGGGGTTCAGAATTGGGCATTAAGATCAGGTGGGAAGGTTGAGATTTTAAAAAGGGTCAGAGAAAGAGAGATTCCATCTCTTCCCCACCCCTTATAACTGTCCTCTCTTTTGCAATGCATCAGATAACGAGGCAGCATCTGTGTCTGGGGAGGAGTTGTCTCAGAGCCCTGTGAGAGCACAGGAGGGAGAGGTGCTACTTAGAGAATTGGGGTCATCTGGCCCTGACCCCTACTCGGGAAGGGAGGGACCCTCCAGGAAAGTGAGCGGCATCCCCTAGCTAGTAGAGAATAATAGGATCTCTGAGAAGCCCAGATGTGGCTTGGAGGGGGTCCTGGAGGTGGGCTCTTTCACCTGCTCCTGCCTCTCCTCATTCCTCCAGGTCCTGCCCGCCAGTACTACACCAAGGGCAACCTGGTCCGGATATGCCTCGGGGCTGTGATCCTAATAATCCTGGCGGGGTTTCTGGCAGAGGACTGGCACAGCCGGAGGAAGCGCCTGCGGCACAGGGGCAGGGCTGTGCAGAGGCCGCTTCCGCCCCTCCCGCCCCTCCCGCTGACCCGGAAATCAAACGGGGGTCAGGATGGAGGCCGACAGGATGTTCACAGCCGCGGGTTATGTTCATGACCGCTGAACCCCAGGCACGGTCGTATCCAAGGGAGGGATCATGGCATGGGAGGCGACTCAAAGACTGGCGTGTGTGGAGCGTGGAAGCAGGAGGGCAGAGGCTACAGCTGTGGAAACGAGGCCATGCTGCCTCCTCCTGGTGTTCCATCAGGGAGCCGTTCGGCCAGTGTCTGTCTGTCTGTCTGCCTCTCTGTCTGAGGGCACCCTCCATTTGGGATGGAAGGAATCTGTGGAGACCCCATCCTCCTCCCTGCACACTGTGGATGACATGGTACCCTGGCTGGACCACATACTGGCCTCTTTCTTCAACCTCTCTAATATGGGCTCCAGACGGATCTCTAAGGTTCCCAGCTCTCAGGGTTGACTCTGTTCCATCCTCTGTGCAAAATCCTCCCGTGCTTCCCTTTGGCCCTCTGTGCTCTTGTCTGGTTTTCCCCAGAAACTCTCACCCTCACTCCATCTCCCACTGCGGTCTAACAAATCTCCTTTCGTCTCTCAGAACGGGTCTTGCAGGCAGTTTGGGTATGTCATTCATTTTCCTTAGTGTAAAACTAGCACGTTGCCCGCTTCCCTTCACATTAGAAAACAAGATCAGCCTGTGCAACATGGTGAAACCTCATCTCTACCAACAAAACAAAAAAACACAAAAATTAGCCAGGTGTGGTGGTGCATCCCTATACTCCCAGCAACTCAGGGGGCTGAGGTGGGAGAATGGCTTGAGCCTGGGAGGCAGAGGTTGCAGTGAGCTGAGATCACACCACTGCACTCTAGCTCGGGTGACGAAGCCTGACTTTGTCTCAAAAAATACAGGGATGAATATGTCAATTACCCTGATTTGATCATAGCACGTTGTATACATGTACTGCAATATTGCTGTCCACCCCATAAATATGTACAATTCTGTATACATTTTTAAAATCATAAAAATAAGATAATGCACCGTCTCCACCCCTCTCATATTTACTTTCTGAAGGAAATGTTAGGTCTTCTCAAGGTAAAGTTCTATATTTATTATAGCGTTTAGGCATTTCTTGACCATCTAATGAGTGTAAAACTGTACCACTGGGCCAAGTGCAGTGGATCATGTCTGTAATCCTAGCACTGTGGGAGGCCAAGGCAGGAGGATCGCTTGAGCCCAGGAGTTCAAGACCAGCCTGGGCAACATAGTGAGACCCCATCTCTACTTAAAATAAAGAAGATAAAAATTGTTTTAAAAAAGGAAAAGAATGGCTGGCCACAGTGGCTCACGCCTGTAATCCCGGCACTTTGGGAGGTTGAGGTAGGTGAGTCACTTGGGAAAAGACAGAAGGATGGCACCAAGAAGTTCCAGGACGACGGCTGTGAATCAGGGCTAGTGAGCACACAGCTTGGGTGAAGGGGGAATGGGAAAGTTGCTTAGAGAAGCCTCCAAATGTAAGAATGGGTCAATTCCTCGTCTTAACATAGTGGAAAATCATACTGAGATGCTATCAGAAGACAGAGGAAAAATAATTTTAGAGGTCAAGTAAACTAAGTAGATTTTAAAAAGACCAGTATAGCCTAGGCACAGTGGCTCACACCTGTAATCCCAGCACTTTGGGAGGCTGAGGCGGGATCGCTTGAGCCTAAGAGTTCGAGACCAGCCTGGGCAACATGGTGAAACCTTGTCTCATATACAAAAAATATAAAAAATTAGCTGGGTGTGGTACCACATGCCTACTCTCAGGTACTCAGGAGGCTGAGGTTGGGGATCACCTGAGCCCGGGGAGGTTGAGGCTGCAGTGAGCCATGATTGCACCACTGCTGTCAAACCTGGGTGACAGAGTGAGACCCTGCCTCAAAAGAAAATAAAAATAAAAAACAAATATAAACTTTAGGGGAACAATAACAACAACAAAAATAAAAGAAGCAAGTTATATTACCCGAAAATTCTCGGCTGCGAATATCTGTGGGTATAAACATGTGATACTGGCCGGGCGTGGTGGCTCATGCCTGTAATCCCAGCACTTCGGGAGGCTGAGGTGGGCAGATCACGAGGTCAGGAGATCGAGACCAGCTCAGCCAACATGGTGAAACCCTGTCTCTACTAAAAATACAAAAATTAGCCAGTCGTGGTGGCACACGCCTGTAGTCCCAGCTACTCAGGAGACTGAGGCTGCAGTGAGCTGAGATTGCGCCACTGCACTCCAGCCTGGGTGACAGAGTGAGACTCTGTCTCAAAAAAAAAAAATGTGATACTGAATGTTGATATGCAGACATAGAGATAAACATTGGAAGAGAAAAAACAGTAAGAACAACGCTGTAGAATAACTAAGGCCCCGCCTATTATGATAGGAATCCAGTAAGTCTAAGCTCATTCACATGGTTACATGTTTTTAGAAACCTAATATTAACAAGTTCCTAAAGAAAACAGCTAAAAGTGGGTGTCTCTTAGGCGGAGCAATGGAGGAGATGGTTAGTCAGCCACTGCATTTTGTACACACCCTTTTAGTGCTATTGGAATTTTTTAGGTAGGTGCTGTCAGGCCTCTGAGCCCAAGCTAAGCCATCATATCCCCTGTGACCTGCACGTACACATCCATATGGCTGGTTCCTGCCTTAACTGATGACATTCCACCACAAAAGAAGTGAAAATGGCCTGTTACTGCCTTAACTGATGACATTGTCTTGTGAAATTCCTTCTCCTGGCTCATCCTGGCTCAAAAGCTCCCCTACAGAGCACCTTGTGACCCCCACTCTGCCCGCCAGAGAACAACCCCGCTTTGACTGTAATTTTCCTTTACCTACCCAAATCCTATAAAACGGCCCCACCCCATCCCCCTTCGCTGACTCTCTTGTCGGACTCAGCCCACCTGCACCCAGGTGATTAAAAGCTTTATTGCTCACACAAAGCCTGTTTGGTGGTCTCTTCACATGGACGCACATGAAATTTGGTGCCGTGACTTGGATCGGGGGACCTCCCTTGGGAGATCAATCCCCTGTCTTGCTCTTTGCTCTGTGAAAAAGATCCACCTACGACCTCAGGTCCTCAGACCCACCAGCCCAAGGAACATCTCACCAAGTTTAAATTGGGTAAGCGACCTCTTCTTACTCTCTTCTCCAACCTCTCTCACTGTCCCTCAACCACTTTCTCCTTTCCACTCTTCAATCTCTCCCTTCTCTTAATTTCAATTCCTTTCATTTTCTGGTAGAGACAAAGGAGACACGTTTTATCTGTGGACCCAAAACTCCGGCGCCGGTCACGGACTAGGGAAGGCAGCCTTCCCTTGGCGTTTAATCATTGCAGGGACGCCTCTCTGATTATATACCCACGCTTCAGAGGTGTCAGATCACGCAGGGATGCCTGCCTTGGTCCTTCACCCTTAGTGGCAAGTCCCACTTTTCTGGGGAAGGGGCAAGTTCCCCAACCCCTCCTCTCCATGTCTCTACCCCTTCTCCACCTTTCTGGGGGGCAAGAAACCCCCAACCCCTTCTCCTTCACTCTTAGCGGCAAGTCCCGCTTTTCTAGAGGGGCAAGTACCCCAACCTCGTATCTCTGCACCCTGATCCCTTATTTCCATGCCCCAACCTCTTATCTCTGTGCCCCAACCCCTTATATCCATGCCCCAACCCCTTTCCCGCTTTTCTGGAAGGTAAGAACTCCCGAACCCCTTCCCTCCGTGTCTCTACTCTCTCTTTTCTCTAGGCTTGCCTCCTTCACTATGGGCAACCTTCCACCCTCCATTCCTCCTCCTTCTCTCCCTTGGCCTGTGTTCTCAAAAACTTAAAACCTCTTCAACTCACACCTGACCTAAAACCTAAATGCCTTATTTTCTTCTGCAATGCCGCTTGACCCCAATACAAACTGGACAGCAGTTCCAAATAGCCAGAAAACAGCACTTTCAATTTTTCCATCCTGCAAGATCTAAATAATTCTTGTCGTAAAATGGGCAAACGGTCTGAGGTGCCTGACGTCCAGGCATTCTTTTACACATCAGTCCCTTCCTAGTCTCTGTGCCCAGTGCAACTCGTCCCAAATCTTCCTTCTTTCCCTCCTGCCTGTCCCCTCAGTCTCAACCCCAAGCGTCGCTGAGTCTTTCTAATCTTCCTTTTCTACAGACCCGTCTGACCTCTCCCTCCTCCCCAGGCTGAGCTAGGTCCCAATTCTTCCTCAGCCTCCGCTCCTCCACCGTATTATCTTTTTATCACCTCCCCTCCCCACACCTGGTCCAGCTTACAGTTTCGTTCAGTGACTAGCCCTCTTCCACCTGCCCAGCAATTTACTCTTAGAAAGGTGGCTGGAGCTAAAGGCATAGTCAAGGTTAATGCTCCTTTTTCTTTATCCCAAATCAGATAGTGTTTAGGCTCTTTTTCATCAAATATAAAAATCCAGCCCAATTCATGGCTCGTTCGCCAGCAACCCTGAGAAGCTTTACAGCCCTAGACCCTTAAAAGTCAAAAGGCCGTCTTATTCTTAATACACATTTTATTACCCAATCTGCTCCCGACATTAAATAAAACTCCAAAAATTAAATTCCGGCCCTCAAACCCCACAACAGGATTTAATTAACCTCGCCTTCAAGGTGTACAATAATAGAAAAAAGTTGCAATTCCTTGCCTCCACTGTGAGACAAACCCCAGCCACATCTCCAGCACACAAGAAGGGAACTGAACCGCAGCGGCCAGGCGTTCCTCCAGAACCTCCTCCCCCAGGAGCTTGCTACAAGTGCCAGAAATCTGACCACCAGGCCAAGGAATGCCTGCAGCCCAGGATTCCTCCTAAGCCGTGTCCCATCTGTGCGGGACCCCACTGGAAATCGGACTGTTCAACTCACCTGGCAGCCACTCCCAGAGCCCCTGGAACTCTGGCCCAAGGCTCTCTGACTCCTTCTCGGCTTAGCGGCTGAAGACTGATGCTGCCCAATCGCCTCGGAAGCTCTGTAGACCATCACGGATGCCGAGCTTCGGGTAACACTCACGGTGGAAGGTAAGTCCGTCGCCTTAGTCAATACGGAGGCTACCCACTCCACATTACCTTCTTTTCAAGGGCCTGTTTCTCTTGCCTCCATAACTGTTGTGGGTATTGACGGCCAGGCTTCTAAACCCCTGAAAACTCCCCCACTCTGGTGCCAACTTGGACAACACTCTTTTATGCACTCTTTTTTAGTTATCCCCACCTGCCCAGTTCCCTTATTAGGCCGAGATATTTTAACCAAATTATCTGCTTCCCTGACTATTCCTGGACTACAGCCGCATCTCATTGCCACCCTTCTCCTCAACCCAAAGCCTCCTTCGCGTCTTCCTCTCCTATTCCCCCACCTTAACCCACAAGTATGGGACATCTCTACTCCTTCCCTGGCAACTGATCACATACCCGTTACCATCCCATTAAAACCTAATCACCCTTACCCTGCTCAATGCCAATATCCCATCCCACAGCACACTTTAAAAGGATTAAAGCCTGTTATCACTCGCCTGCTATAGCATGGGCTTCTAAAACCTATAAACTCTCCTTACAATTCCCCCATTTTACCTGTCCAAAAACCGGAAAAGTCTTACAGATTAGTTCAGGATCTGCGCCTTATCAAATTGTTTTGCCTATGCACCCTGTGGTGCCCAACCCCTACACTCTTTTGTCCTCAATACCTTCCTCCACAACTCACTATTCCATGCTTGATCTTAAAGATGCTTTTTTCACTATTCCCCTGCACCCCTCGTCCCAGCCTCTCTTCGCTTTCACTTGGACTGACCCTGACACCCATTAGGCTCAGCAAATTACCTGGGCTGTACTGCTGCAAGGTTTCACAGACAGCCCCCATTACTTCAGTCAAGCCCAAAGTTCATCCTCATCTGTTACCTATCTCGGCATAATTCTCATAAAAACACACGTGCTCTCCCTGCTGATCGTGTCTGACTGATCTCTCAAGCCCCAGCACCTTCTACAAAACAACAACTCCTTTCCTTCCTAGGCATGGTTAGCGCGGTCAGAACTCTTACACAAGAGCCAGGACCACACCCTGTAGCCTTTCTGTCCAAACAACTTGACCTTACTGTTTTAGCCTAGCCCTCATATCTGCGTGCTGTGGCTGCCGCTGCTTTAATACTTTTAGAGGCCCTCAAAATCACAAACTATGCTCAACTCACTCTCTACAGCTCTCATAATTTCCAAAATCTATTTTCTTACTCACACCTGATGCATATACTTTCTGCTCCCTGGCTCCTTCAGCTGTACTCACTCTTTGTTAAGTCCCACAATTACCATTGTTCCTGGCCCGGACTTCAATCTGGCCTCCCACATTATTCCAGATACCACACCTGACCCCCATGACTGCATCTCTCTGATCCACCTGACGTTCACCCCATTTCCCCACATTTCCTTCTTCCCTGTTTCTCACCCTGATCACACTTAGTTTATTGATGGCGGTTCCACCAGGCCTAATCGCCACACACCAGCAAAGGCAGGCTATGCTATGGTACAAGCCACTAGCCAGCCTCTTAGAACCTCTCATTTCCTTTCCATTGTGGAAATCTATCCTCAAAGAAATCACTTCTCAGTGTTGCATCAGCTATTCTACTACTCCTCATGGATTATTCAGGCCCCCTCCCTTCCCTACACATCAAGCTCAAGGATTTGCCCCCGCCCAGGACTGGCAAATTAGCTTTACTCAACATGCCCCGAGTAAGATAACTAAAATACCTCTTAGTCTAGGTAGACACTTTCACTGGGTAAGTACAGTCCTTTCCTACAGGGTCTGAGAAGGCCACCGCAGTCATTTCTTCCCTTCTGTCAGACATAATTCTTCAGTTTAGCCTTGTCATTCCCTTCTGTCAGACAAAATTCCTCAGTTCAGCCTTCCCACCTCTATACAGTCTGCTAACAGACCAGCCTTTATTAGTCAAATCAGCCAAGCATTTTTTCAGGCTCTTAGTATTCAGTGACAGACTAATGGTCTATTAAAAACACACCTCACCAAGCTCAGCCACCAACTTAAAAAGGACTGGACAATACTTTTACCATTTTCGCTTCCAGAATTCAGGCCTGTCCTTGGAATGCTACAAGATACAGCCCATTTAAGCTCCTGTGTAGACACTCCTTTTTATTAGGCCCCAGTCTCATTCCAGACACCAGACCAACTTAGATTGTGCCCCAAAAAACTTGTCATCCCTACTATCTTCTGTCTAGTCATACTCCTATTCACCGTTCTCAACTACTCACACATGCCCTGCTCTTGTTTACACTGCCAGTTTACACTGTTTCTCCAAGCCAGCACAGCTGGTATCTCCTGGTACTATCCCCATACCGCCACTGTTAACTCTTAAAATAAATAAATAATCTTTGCTGGCAAGGCTATGCTGAACCTCCTTAGGCACTTTCTAATTAGATGTCCTGAGTCGTCCCAATTCTTAGACCTTTAATACCTGTTTTTCTCCTTTCCTTATTCCCTTTAGTTTTTCAATTCATACAAAACTGTATCCAGGCCATCACCAATAATTCTAAATGACAAATGTTTCTTTTAACAATCCCACAATGTCACCCCTTACCACAAAATCTTCCTTCAGCTTAATCGCTCCCACTTTAGGTTCCCACGCCGCCCCTAATCCTGCTCAAAGCAGCCTTGAGAAACATCACCCATTATCTCTCCATACCACCCCCAAAAATTTTTGCTGTCCCAACACTTTACCCCTATTTCATTTTATTTTTCTTATTAATATAAGAAGACAGGAATGTCAGGCCTCTGAGCCCAAGCTAAGCCATCATATCCCCTGTGACCTGCACGTACACATCCAGATGGCCGGTTCGTGCCTTAACTGATGACATTCCACCACAAAAGAAGCGAAAATGGCCTGTTCCTGCCTTAACTGATGACATTGTCTTGTGAAATTCCTTCTCCTGGCTCATCCTGGCTCAAAAGCTCCCCTACTGAGCACCTTATGACCCCGACTCTGCCCGCCAGAGAACAACCCCCCTTTGACTGTAATTTTCCTTTACCTACCCACATCCTATAAAACGGCCCCACCCCTATCCCCCTTCGCTGACTCTCTTGTCAGACTCAGCCCACCTGCACCCAGGTGATTAAAAGCTTTATTGCTCACACAAAGCCTGTTTGGTGGTCTCTTCACACGGACGTGCATGAAAGGTGCGTGTATATTTTTGTAACACAATAAATAATAACAGTATACACTTTTTCTTTTAGAAGTATGCTGTTAAACAGAATTAAGAACAGGAAGTCTCAAAATTGTTTCTTTCAGGAGAGAAGACTTATTAATGGGGGAGAGTTCTGAACCACTTGCTTTGCATACTGCCACTTAGTTAAAAAATCGCATTTTAACTTAAAAATATCCAAAAATAACACAGTTTTATAATAAATTATTACGAATATCACAAAATAATAAAAATACAAGTAATGCAGAGTGGAAATGCAAAGCTATGAGTGCTAGACGGCTAACAAGTCATAACAAACAACACCAAAATTAAAGAACAAGATAGTTGTGACTTACCTTGGTCAATCACTTTCCATAGTAGTCATTCAATCCAGGATCTCATCTCTGAAAATGAAGGAAAAAAGCAACAGAAAATAGTGTAGAGGTCTCTGGTGTTCCAAGAATAGGCGCTGCAGAGAGATGTGGGTGCCTGGGCTGTGCCCAGTCACTGAAATGGCACACCTGATGCTACCTGTTCACTTCGGGCTGAGCAGGAGAGAGAAAAGACGTTCCCCTCAGCCACTTCCCGTCTTCTGATTTCACTTCTTGCCTGCCTCCGACTGCAAATCCTGGTTTGACGTCACTTCCTGTCTTCTGATTTTACTTCCTGTATGACCTCACTTCCTGTCTTCTACAACCACTTCCTGTCTTCTTACTTCACTTCCTGTCTTCTGACTTTACTTCCTGTATGACTTCACTTCTTGTCTTCTACCACCACTTCCTGTCTTCCGAATTTACCTCCTATCTTGACTTCACTTCTTGTTTTTTTTTTTTTTTTTTGACAGGGTCTCGCTCTGTCTCCTAGGGTGGAGTGCAGTTGTGCCAGCTTGAAACCACCTTTCCAAAATTATGACTGAGACAGTGAAAGAGATTTAACTGACTCCATTTTGCTTCTAACCTCCAAGCTGTCCTTTTTCATTCCTGGGCATAGGCTGAACTTTGGGAGAAACTTATAGTTTAAACAAAGATGATAGCCCTTTTCCAAAGCACACCTCTTTGTTGCCTGGGGACTAGATTGGCCCTGTAGGACGAACATTAGCCACGAGATTAGAAATTATGACTTAGGAGTCATGCAGCTGGAGGCTACAAGATTGTGACCCTCCCTAAACTGCTTCTAAGATCAGCGTTTAACTTGCAGACCCTGTACTTGATGGATCAGCTGGCACCACCCATATCAATAAACTGGCCCATCTTATCTTTTGGCCTCCACTCAGGAACTGAGTGCAAGAAGATAGCTTTGGCTCCCACGATTTCATCCCTGACCAAACAGCACTCCTGGCTCACTGGCTTCCCACCCACCCACCAAGTTATCCTTAAAAACGCTTCCTGAATGCTGGGAGACACTGATTTGAATAATAATAAAACTCTGGTCTCTCGTAGAGCCAGCTCTGCATGAATTATTCTCTATTGCGATTCCCTGTCTTGACGAATCAGCTCTGTCTAGGCAGTGGGCAAGGTGAACACATTGGACTATTACAATCTTGGCTCACTGCAACCTCCACCGCCTGGGTTCAAGTGATTCTCCTGCCTCAGACTCCCAAGTAGCTGAGATCACAGACGTGCACTACCATGCTCAGCTACATTTTTTTTTCTGTCCCCCGGGCTGGAGTGCAATGGTGCGATCTCGGCTCATTGCAACCTCCGCCTTCCGGGTTTAAGCGATTCTCCTGCCTCAGCCTCCAGAGTAGCTGGGATTACAGGCATGCACCACCAAGCCTGGCTACTTTTGGTATTTTTAGTAGAGACAGGGTTTCACCATGTTGGCCAGGCTGGTCTCAAACTCCTGACCTCATGTGATCCACCTGCCTCTGCCTCCCAAAGTGCTGGGATTACAGGTGCGATCCACCATGCCCAGCCCATTCCGTCTTCTGACTTGACTTCCTGCCTGACTTCACTTCCTGAAGGATGTGGTTACCATGGAAGTTGTTTTGGGGCACAGGATGTGGTCTGGGATTGGGGATTGTGAAAAGCAAGACCCTCACCGGGGTCTTTCTTCCAGAGCTGCAGCTGAGCCACAGGATCTTGAACAGGAGAGAGTTCTTCCTATTCTTGTGGAAGAGCTGAGGATTGAGAAAAGCGCGGCTTAGCTCATGGGAGTGACCTTAGCTTTGAGAAGCCTGAAAATGAGGCTTGGAGGTAGAGAGTGGTGTGTGTGTGTGCGCGTTGGGGGAGGGGGTCAGGCTCTCATGACTTCTGGCTCTTTTTTTTGCTCCAGGAACATTTCCCAAGCCCACCATCTGGGCTAACCCAGCCCTCGTGGTTCCTGGGTGCAAACATGGCCGTGGAATTGTGGAATGGTTTTTTTTGTATCCTTAGCAGAGAACCCAGTGAATACTTTGTTCTTGATCATCAATGTGATGAGATCCAGAGCAAGCAAGTGCTAATGCTGCTGTGAGCCTGAGGCCACATTTTCAGAATTCAGTGATGGGCGGAGGCGAGTGGTCACAGGTATAGGGAGAGCAGTACTTGTTCATCTCTGAACGTATAGATTCAGACACACATGAACCCATGTGCCACAGGTTTCCCTGTTTAGGACTTGTAGGTCATGGGGGTGGGCATCTGAGAGTGTGGCTACATGAAATACACACGTTGGAGAAAGATGGTTAATTGTGAGTGCGAGTTTACATTTCATGGGCCCCTGGGGTGTCGATAGTTCCTCAATGGATGTAGATCCGTTACTCAATTTCTTCTCTAAAGATGGGGCTAGATTACAATGGTTCTCAACCTAAGAAAACTTTGCATTTCAGGAAATATTTTCTACTGCCCAGAGACATTTTTGATCACTGTTAACTGTGAGGATGTGAGCTGGTATCTAGGGGGTAGAGGCTAGGGATGGTGCCGAACACCCTGGAAATGTACAGGACGTTTCCCAACGAGTAGTGATCCGATCCCAAATGTCAATAGTGTGGAGAAGGAGAAACCTTTAGTTTCTTCACGCAATGTCCTTTTTAAACTTTGTGCCTCTCTTTTTACCAACCTTCCCCCTTCTTCCCGCTGAAACTGAGAATAAAGATGCTCTGGAGGCCGGGCACGGTAGCTTATGTCTGTAATCCCAGCACTTTGGGAGACCGAGGCAGGCAGATCGCTTGAGGTTAGGGGTTCGAGACCAGCCTGGCCAGCGCGGTGAAACCCTGTCTCTACTAAAAATGCAAAAATTATCCGGGAGCCTGAGGCAGAATTGCTTGAACTTGGGAGGCAGAGGCTGCAGTAAGCCGAGGTCACACCACTGCACTCCAAACCGGGCAATGGAGCGAGACTGTCAAAAAAAAAAAAAAATGCTCAGGGAATGACCCATGCCGCATTGAACAAGGACACCTTGAACCAGGAAACCTCAGAAGCCCACACTGTATGCAGTGGAACTGGAAAGTGATGGAGTGGTTTAAAGGTAGTATCAGAGAACTTGGATCTAGTCGGTGGGAATAAACCAATAGCCCCTGATGAAGAAATGAAAGTAGGAAGAGAGATTAACTTTTTTAGTTTTAAATTTAAATATTAAAACTACTTTTGACCAGGTGTGGTGGCTCATGCCTATAATCCCAGCATTTGGGGAGGCCAAGGTGGGCAGATCACCTGAGCTCAGGAGTTCAAGACCAGTCTGGACAACGTGGCAAAACCCTATCTCTACCAAAAATGCAAAAATTACCTGGGTGCAGTGGTGCACACCTGTGGTCCCAGCTACATGGGAGGCTGAGATGGGAGAACTGCTTAAACTGGGGAGGTGGAGGCTGCAGTGACCCGAGATCGTGCCATTGCATTCCAGCCTGGGTGAAAGAGCAAGATTCTGCCACCAAAAAAAAAAAAAAAAAAAAAAAAAAAAAAGAAAAAAATGTTGCCAGGTGCGGTGACTTATACCTGTAATCCCAGCACTTTGGGAGACCAAGGCTGGTGGATCACCTGAGGTCGGGAGTTCGAGACCAGCCTGACCAACATGGAAAAACCCCGTCTCTGCTAAAAATTCAAAATTAGCCAGGCTTGGTGGCACATGCCTATAATCCCAGCTACTCAGTAGGTCGAGGCAAGAGAATCGCTTGAACCCGGGGAGGCGGAGGTTGCAGTGAGCCAAAATCGTGCCATTGCACTCCAGCCTGGGCAACAAGAAGAAACTGTCTCAAAACAAACAAAAAAAAACATGATTAGTGTTTAATAAAAATTTGTACTGTTCTTTTTCCCCCTTACCGTCCATTTGTTTGCTCATCCAGTAAACACAGACAGCAACAAAGTCTCCCCATGAGAAGCAACTTTGCCAACTAGTGTTGTCTTTATAGTACAGTTCGTTTTGTTTGTGGTTTTACAGCGTAGAGCTTGCACTGCTGCTTTGTTGAATTTGGAATTCTGTATCACAAGGAAATAATGGAGACTCTATAGTGAAAAACTATGCATACCATGAGATTTTGTTTTTTTTTGGAGAAGGAGTCACTCTGTTGCCCAAGCTGGAATGCAGTAGTGCAGTCTTCAGCACAGTGCAACATCCACCTCCTGGGTTTAAGCAATTCTCCTGCCTCAGCCTCCCAAGTAGCTGGGATTACAGGCATGTGCCACCATGCCTGGCTAATTTTTTATATTTTTAGTAGAGACGGGGTTTCACCACGTTGGCCAGGTTGGTCTCCAACTCCTGACTTCGTGATCCACCCACCTCAGCCTCCCGAAGTGCTGGGATTACAGGTGTGAGCCACCGTGCCTGGCCGAGATTCTATTTTAAGTTAGAATTTTTAAAAAGCAAAATCAGAGCAATGACATGGTCATATATGAGCTACACCGAAGCACCTAAAATATTGTAGATTGGTAGGAGAAATCCTCTGGCAAGTAATACTCAGCAGGCAGTGATCCACGCAGGTCAACAAGTAACAAGACAGGCTAGGCACAGTGGTTCACACCTGTAATCCTAGCACTTTGGGAGGCTGAGGCAGGAATATTACTTGCGCCTGGGAGTTTGAGATCAGCCTGGGCAACATAGTGAGACCCTGTCTTCAAAAAAAATCCCACAAAAATTGGCCTGGTTTGGTGGTGTGCACCTGTAGTCCCAGCTACTGAGGAGGCTGAGGCTGGAGGATCGCTTGAACCTGGGAGCTTGAGGCTGCAGTGAGCTATCATCATGCTGCTGTATTCCAGCCTGGGCAACAGAGCAACACTCATGCTTGAGGAAAAAGAAAAAGAAAAAAAAAAAAGCCGGGTACAGTGGCTCATGCCTGTAATCCCAGCACTCTGGGAGGCTGAGGTGGGTGGATCACTTGAGGTCAGGAGTTTGAGACCAGACTGGCCAACATGGTGAAACCTCATCTCTATTAAAAATACAAAAAAATTTAGCCGGGTGTGGTGGGGGATGCTTGTAATCCCAGCTACTCAGGAGGCTGAGACAGGAGAATCGCTTGAACCTGCCAGGTTGTAGTAAGCTGAGATCGTGCCAGTGTACTCCAGCGTGGGCAACAGAGTGAAACTCAGTCTAAAAAAAAAAAAAAAAAAAAAGAAAAGAAAAAAGAAAGGAAATACCAAGGCAAGGCAAAGATTGACAAGGCAATAGAAATCAATGCAATTAAACACTGTCACTTCCCCCACCCCCCAGGTTCTACCCAGTAAGATATCTTTTCTCTAACTTGTCAAAGCCCATTATTAAGTAACAGCTTCATTTGTGAATGCTCTCACCTTTATTTCTCTCAATATACCCGTGATACAGATATTTCATATGTAACAAAGATAAGGATGTGTGCAGGTATAAAACAGAGGCAGAATCATGGCTAAAACATCTAGCCCAGCAATGAACTCATTATCCCTGAGGGGTAGGGGCCGGGGAGGAGAGGAGTCACAGGCAGTTCACCAACACCTGGAAAATCGATGACTTCATGGAGAATGAATGACTCGGGGGGATTCAGATCATGAAGTCATGAGAAGAAGGCCTTTCTGCCCAGGGATGATGTTTCTCAGTATCAATAATCAGTTGTGGGTTTTTTTCTTCTATTTCTTCCAGCAGCTTATTGAGTTCATCATTAAAGTCATCGATTTTCAACCTGGGGTACAATGGGGGAAGAAAAGGTTACTTTGTGCATCAAGGAGATTTGTTTCAAATTCCCAAGTACCTGAAAGTCTGTTAAGGAGGCACAGGGCATGGGTCACCTTTCCTGATTATTCTAGGTGGCAAAGGAGTGTTCCACATTGATTTTTTTTTTTTTTTTTTAAAAGACAGTCTCAGGTGGGGCGTGATGGCTCACGCCTGTAATTCCCAGCACTTTAGGAGGCTGAGGCGGGTGGATCACGAGGTCAGCAGATCAAGACCATCCTGGCTAACACGGTGAAACCCTGTCTCTACTAAAAAAATACAAAAAATTAGCCGGGCGTGGTGGCGGACGCCTGTAGTCCCAGCTACTCAGGAGGCTGAGGCAGGAGAATGGTGTGAACCCGGGAGGCGGAGCTTGCAGTGAGCCGAGATCGTGCCACTGTACTCCAGCCTGGGCGATCTCAAAAAAAAAAAAAAAAAAAAAAAAAAAAAAAAAAAAAAAGACAGTCTCTCTGTTGCCCAAGCTGGAGTGCAGTGGTACCATCTCAGCTCACTGCAACCTGTGCCTCTTGGGTTCAAGCCATCCTATCCTCTGCCTCCCGAGTAGCTGGGACTACAGGCACCTGCCACCATGCTCAGCTAATTTTTGTATTTTTAGTAGAGTTGGGGTTTTACCATGTTGCCTAAACTGTACCTGGCTTGATTTGCTTATTTTTTATTTTTAAATATAAAATGAGGCCAGATGTGGTGGGTCATGCCTGTAATGCCAGCACTTTGGGAGAGTGAGGTGGGCAGATCACTTGAGGTCAGGAGTTTGAGACCAGCCTAGGCAAGATGGTGAAAGTCCATCTCTACTAAAAATATAAAAGTTAGTTGGGTGTGATGGTGCATCCCTATAATCCCAGCTACTCAGGAAGCTGACACAGGAGAATCACTTGAACCTGGGAGGCGGAGGTTACAGTGAGCTGAGATCGGGCCCCTGCACTCCAGCCTGAGCAATAGAGTGAGATTTTTGTCTAAAAAATAAATGAAGTAAATAATAAAATGTAATATTAAAGACTTTCATTTCTCTTTTTAATCCTTTTTTTCATTCCTCTTATTCTCAACCATGTTGATCTGATAGAGAAAAACATAACATCAGGTTAACCTTGTAATGGTATATAGCCATTGTGCAGTTTGAGATGCTTGTTGATTATCATACACAGAAAATGGAATTGCTGAGTACAGCTGGGCTATAGCTCTAATACCTGCTTACCCGCTCTATCACCCACTTTGGCAACTTCTACTCAGTGGACCCCGGAGTACCAGTTAAACAGAGGAGATGCAGGCCAGGCATGGTGGCTCACGCCTGTAATCTTAGCACTTTGGGAGGCTGAGGCAGGCGGGTCACCTGAAGTCAGGAGTTCGAGACCAGCCTGACCAATATGGAGAAACCCTGTCTCTATTAAAAATACAAGATTAGCCAGGTGTGGTGGCACATGCCTGTAGTCCCAGCTACTTGGGAGGCTGAGGGAGGAGAACCTCTTGAACCCGGGAGGCGGAGGTTGCAGTAAGCCGAGATAGCGCCATTGCGCTCCAGGCTGGACAACAAGAGTAAAACTCTGGCCGGGCGGGGAGGTGGGGGGGTCAGCCCCCCGCCCAGCCAGCCGCCCTGTCCGGGAGGTGAGGGGCGCCTCTGCCCGGCCGCCCCTAATGGGAAGTGAGGAGCCCCTCTAACCGGCCAGCCGCCCTGTCCGGGAGGGAGGTGGGGGGGTCAGCCCCCCATTTTGTTCTGTACTAAGAAAAATTCTTCTGCCTTGGGATCCTGTTGATCTGTGACCTTACCCCCAACCCCGTGCTCTCTGAAACATGTGCTGTGTCCACTCAGAGTTAAACGGATTAAGGGCGGTGCAAGATATGCTTTGTTAAACAGATCCTGAAGGCAGCACGCTCGTTAAGAGTCATCACCACTCCCTAATCTCAAGTACCCAGGGACACAAACGCTGCGGAAGGCCGCAGGGTCCTCTGCCTAGGAAAACCAGAGACCTTTGTTCACTTGTTTATCTGCTGACCTTCCCTCCACTATTGTCCTATGACCCTGCCAAATCCCCCTCTGTGAGAAACACCCAAGAATGATCAATAAAAAAAAAAAAAAAAAAAAAGGAAAAAAAAAAAAAAAAAAGAAAAAAGATGCACCCCAAAAAAAAGAGTAAAACTGTCTCCAAAATAAATAATAAATAAACAAACAAACAAACTTAAAGCTTAAAAAAACCCTTAGTGTCCATATGTCTTTTGACTTACAAAGTATCTTAGGCTGAGTTTCATGTTAAATAAACAAGTAATCTATGTTTCTTCTACATAAAGATTATTTTAAGCCAGCAGTAGAGTATATTGCTTGTGAGAATTTCTGAAGTTCCCACATTCCTAGGAAGGGGCTTCTTGGTTCTTTGATGCCATGGTATCAAAATACAACTCAGGCCGGGTGCGGTGGCTCATGCCTGTAATCCCAGCACTTTGGGATGCTGAGGTGGGCAAATCACGGAGGTCAGGAGTTTGAGACCACCCTGGCCAACATGGCAAAACCCTGTCTCTACTAAAAATACAAAAATTACCTAGGTGTGGTGGTGCATGCCTGTAATCCCAGCTACTTGGGAGGCTGAAGCATGAGAATAGCTGGAACCTGGGAGGTGGAGGTTGCAGTTAGCAACCACTGCACCCCAGCCTGGGCAACAGAGTGAGACTCCATCTCAGAAAAAAAAAAAAAAAAAGAAAGAAAAAACAAAACAAAACCCCAAAACCCTGACAAAATGCAACAAACAAAACACAGCCCAGTGACAAATGGCTATCATGAGCAGGTAGACGGCAGCCGTGGCTGGGTGCAATGGTTCATGCTTATAAACCTACCTACTCAGGAACTGAGGCAGGATTGCTTGAGCCCAGGAGCTGGAGCGAGCCTGCAGCGAGCCATCATTGTGCTGCTGGACTCCAGCCTGGGGAACATAGTGAGTTCTTGCCTCAAAGGAAAAAAAAAAAAAAGGTGGCCGGGTGCGGTTGCTCACGCCTGTAATCCCAGCACTTTGGGAGGCCGAGGCGGGCGGATCACCTGAGGTCAGGAGTTTGAGACCAGCCTGACCAACATGGTGAAACCCCGTTTCTCCAAGTGAAATACAGAAATTGGCTGGGTGTGATGGCGGGAACCTGTAATCCAGCTACCAGATCAGTCTCCTACAGCAGGTCCATGTCATTATGCTTCCCCTAAACCTACCACTCTGGAGAAAGCCTGATGGGGAAGTAAATGGATCATACCTGAGTGTCCGGAGGGTGCCACTGGAACATGTCAAGGTTTCAAACAGCATCTTCACTCCACTAGACCCCAAGGGATTCTGACCCAGGTCCAGAGTGACGAGGCTCTGGTTGCAGCTGAGGGCAGAGCAGAGGTCTTCACAACTGAACGGAGGGATGGAACATCCCCACAACCTGGGGAAACACAGAAATCAACACGTTAATGCAGCCAGTGCTGATCGATGCCCTCCGGCAAGCCAAGCCCACCCTCGTGTGTTGGGGATCTGCATGACCAACAGAAGTCTCAGGCCGGGCACGGTGGTTCACGCCTGTAATCCCAGCACTTTGGGAGGCCGAGGTGGATGGATCACCTGAGGTCAAGGAGTTCAAGACCAACCTAACATGGTAAAACCGTGTCTCTACTAAATATACAGAAGTTAGCTGGGCGTGGTGACAGGCACCTGTAATCCCAGCTACTCAGGAGGCTGGGGCAGGAGAATCGCTTGAACCCAGGAGGCGGAGGTTGCAGTGAGCCGAGATCGCGCCATTGCACTCCAGCCTGGGTGACAGAGTGAGACTCCGGTCTCAAAAAACAAACAAAACGTCTCCGCCCTCAGGGCTCATCTGCTAACAGGAAAATATGGAGGCGATGAGGGGTTCTGAAGGGCAAGGGGTACAGGGAATAACTGGGGGTTCTGGCTACAATGGTTGGAGGTGAGGGGGTGAAGAGACCGAGTCATAGAGCTCGGGGGGGAGTTCTCCAGGCAGAGAAATAGCTTGTGCAGAGGCCCTGAAGATACATGTGACTGACACGTAAAATAGAACATCCAGGCAGCGGGCATGAGTGAGACAGGGAGGATTGTCAAGATGAGGTCATAGGTAAGCAGTGGCCAGCTCACAGAAGACCCTGAAGCCATCGTCAATATAGGATTTTACCTGGATTGACATAGGGAAGCACTGAGGCTTTTGAGCAGAGAGGTTAAATAACTTCCATCTTTGAAGTTATTCTTTGAGACAGTCTTGCTCTCTCGCCAGGGCTGGAGTGCTGTGGCATGATCTCGGCTCACTGTAGCCTCTGCCTCCTGGATTCAAGCAGTTCTCGTGCCTCCAAGTAGATGAGATTATAGCTATGTGCCACCATGCCTGCCTGATTTTTGTGGTTTTAGAGAGACAGGGTTTCACCTGTCTCTTTAGTAGAGACAGGCTGGTCTACGAACTCCTGACCTTAGGTGATCCACCTGCCTCGGCCTCCCAAAGTGCTGGAATTACAGGCATGAGCCACTGCACCCTGCCACTTTATTTTTTGAAACACGGTCTCACTCGGTTGCCCAGGCTGGAGTGTGGTAACGCCATCTTGGCTCACTGCAGCCTTGACCTCCTGGGCCAACCAGCAACTCAAACTTTTTGCTCCTCTACACGTGTCAGTGAGTGATTAAAAAGGCGCCTTTGTTTTTTTTGTTTTTTTTTTTTTTTTGAGACAGGATCTCACTGTCACCCAGGCTGGAGTGAGGTGACGTGATCTCAATTCGCTGTAACTTCTTCCTCCCAGGCTCAAGTGATCCTCCCACCTCAGCCTCCTGAGTAACTGGGAGCAGAGGTACACAGCCATGCTCAGCGGATTTTTGTACTTTCAGTAGAGACAGGGCTTCATTGTGTTGGCCAGGCTGTTTTTAAATTCTTGGCCTCAAGCAATCTACCTGCCTTGGACTCCCAAAATGCCAGGATTACAGGCATGAGCCACCTTGCCCATCCCGAGTCAAATTCTTTTAAGATTGCCTCCCAGATAGGATTCCAGGTTCAAGTGCATCTGATTGTAGCTAACTCACAAGGTATTTGTAAGATAGCCAAGTTGAGACCACTCACCTGCTGATAGAGCCAGCATTTTCTGGCACGATATCTAATTCCTACCTCTTTTTTATTTTTTCCTGAGATGGAGTCTTGCTCTTGTAGCCCAGGATGGAGTGTAGTGACAGGATCTCAGCTCACTGCAACCTCTGCCTCCAGGGTTCAAGTGATTCTCCTGCCTCAGCCTCCCAAGTAGCTGGGATTAAAGGCACCTACTGGCTGGGCACGGTGGCTCTCACCTGAGGTCCGGAGGTCGAGACCAGCCTGACCAACATGGAGAAACCCCGTCTATACTAAAAATACAAAATTAGCCAGGCATGGTGGCACATGCCTGTTTATTTGCAGCTATGTGGGAGGCTAAGGCAGGAGAATCACTTGAACCCAGGAGGTGGAGGTTGCAGTGAGCTGAGATCGCGCCATTACACTACAGCCTGGGCAACAAGAGTGAAACTATCTCAAAAAAAAAAAAAAAAAAAAAAGAGGCACCCACTACTATGCTCGGCTAATTTTTATATTTTAGTAGAGATGGAGTTTCAAGTTGGCCAGGCTGGTCTTGAGCTCCTGACCTTAAGTGATCCGCCCGCTTCGGCCTCCCGAAGTGCTGGGATTACAGGTATGAGCCACTGTGCCTGGCCCAATTCCCACCTCTCTGAATGTGGGGTGCTGGGCAGTGGCTTTTGGCTGAATGGCTTGAGGCACTGTATCCTTAAAATTTCACAGGTGTTCTTTGCATGACACAGACTAGAACTTAGACATAGGGCCTGGCGCAGTGGCTCACGCCTGTAATCCCAGCACTTTGGGAGGCCGAGATGGGCGGATCACCTGAGGTCAGGAGTTTGAGATGAACCTTCAACATGGCGAAACCCTGTCTCTACTAAAAATACAAGAATTAGCTGGGCATGGTGGCGGGCGCCTGTAATCCCAGCTACTCGGGAAGCTGAAGCAAGAGAATTGCTTGAACCTGGGAGGCGGAGGTTGCAGTGAGCCAAGATCACGCCACTGCACTCCAGCCTATGTGACAAGAGCAAAACTTCAAGAAAAAAAAAAACAAAAACTTAGACATAGACTAGAACTTATTCCTTTAACCATCCTAGTAAATGCTCGATCGACTCTATAAAGGTCCTCTCAATTATATAACTTGGGAAGTCGGCTTCACTGATTATTTTACACTAGCCACAGATTCAGTAAGGTGTAAGTATAGGAAGTTGAACTTATAAGTTAACTCACCACAGACATCTCAAGTTGCACAGTGGTTTCCTCAAAGCCTCACACAGGAACTTCATTCCCTTAACTCCTATGTGATTCAGCCCCAGATCCAAACACAACAGGCTTGATTTTTCTTGGAGAAGCTTTGTGAGATCGCAGCAGCCATCGCTAGTTATGTCGCAGTTCCAAAGCCTAGAAATCAACCACAGGAAGAAAGCAAACCCGAACCTGTGAGTTCTCACTGCTGTGATGCACCTTTGACTCTTGAGCCGTGGGTTAGACACACTTAGAGACAGTGGTGACATGGAAATGGAATCATGGGGTGGTGTGGTGGACAGAAGAATGGCCTCCCCTAAAGATGTCCAAGTCCCAACTCCTGGCACCTGCGAGCAAAAGGGACCTCGTAGAGGTGACTGAGCATCTTAAGATGGTTTATATCCTGGTTTATTTGGGTAGGTCCAGCAATCACAGGGATCCTCATAAGAGGGAGCTGAGAGTCAAAGCCAGCAGGAGGTGACGTGATAAGGGAGCCAGGGCAACGTTTGAAGATGCTCTGCCGAAGTTGGAGGAAGGGCCACAAGCCAAGGAATGCAGGTGGCCAACAGAAGTTGGAGAAGTAAAAAGGATTCTCAGCTGGCACGGTGGCTCACTTCAACCTCCGCCTCCTGGTTTCACGCGATTCTTGTGCCCCAGCCTTCCGAGTAGCTGGGATTACAGGGGGGTGTGTGTGTGTACACACATGCGCGTGCCACCACACCCAGCTAAGTTTTGTATTTTTAGTAGAGACAGGGTTTCCCCATGTTGGCCAGGCTGGTCTTGAACTCCCGACCTCAGATGATCTGCCCACCCTGGCCTCCCTAACATGCTGGGATTACGATTGTATTTGCTAAATTCAGTTGCTAGAGAGGTAGTGTCTTACAGGCAGAAGACACCAGCTCACACTCCAACATATCTGGTACTAGGATCCTAGATATTAACCAACACAGATTATCAGAGATATTTCACCTTAGCTCTGTTTTCTTTCTTCTGTCTCAATAGAGTTCTAAACTTAATTATAATTTGAACTATAATGCCCATGTATCTCTGGGTCCCAAGTGAAGCATACCACTAGCTGAGGGACACAGGACCTGGAAGGGCCTTGGAAATAGATGGCAGATTGGAGTCCATGACGATGGAGAAGTGAAAACACACCCCCAAATCTTGAAACTTTATGAATGTATAGAAACTTTTTTTTTTTTTTTTTTGAGACAGTCTCGCTCTGACACCCAGGCTGGAGTACAGTGGCACAATCTCAGCTCACTGCAACTTCCGCCTCCCAGGTTCAAGCAATTCTCTGCCTCACCCTCCCAAGTAAGCTGGGATTACAGGCTCCGACACCACGCCTGGCTAATTTTTGTATTTTTAGTAAAGACAGGGTTTCACCATGTTGGCCAGGCTGGTCTTGAACTCCTGACCTCATGATCCACCTGCCTCGGCCTCTCAAAGACCCTACCCGGCCTTCTAGAAACTTCCATGACTGTAATGGAGGAAAACCCACATAAGACTAAAGGGAAGTTGACAACTTAGCAAAATAGGGGCATGGATCAAAAAGTTGAATTGAGGGGGCCGGCACGGTGGCTCACACCTGTAATCCCAGCACTTTGGGAGGCTGAGGTGGGTGGATCACCTGAGGTCAGGAATTCGAGACCAGCTTGACCAACATGGTGAAAACTCGTCTCTACTAAAAATAAAGAAGTTAGCTGGGCGTGGTGGCATGCACCTTAATCCCTGGGAGGCTGAGGCAGGAGAATCACACCTGAACTCAGGAGGTGGAGGTTGCAGTGAGCTGAGATGGAGCCACTGCATTCCAGCCTGGGCGACAGAGCAAGACTATCAAAAAAAAAAAACCAAAAAAAAAAAAAAAAGAAAACCCCCCCCCCCCCAAAAAAATACCACACACACCACACACCACACACACACACAACCAAAAAAACTAGACATTCATTTGAAGATACAGTTAGTGAGTCGGTGACATCTCACTGCTTGTGGGACTTCTTTTTTAATGTTTCAGGGCCTAGATATAGTGGGTGTGGGAAGAATCCTTTCCTTCTACTCATCGTCTCCAGCCATGAACTGAATATGTCATTAAATTTAAGTGGGTAGTTTTCAGATGCCAGGTACATATCCTAGATTAGTTACTTCATAGGAAGAGGACAGTTCCTAACTGTTGGAGGTGATGTTAGAGACAAAGAATACCAGAGATATGTATGGCTGGACGCAGTGGCTCATGCCTGTAAATCCTAGCACTTTGGAAGGCTGAGGCGGGCGGATCATGAGGTCAGTTCGAGACCAACCTGGCCAACATGGTGAAATCCCATCTCTACTAAAAATATAAAAATTAGCCCGGCGTGGTGGTGAGTGCCTGTAATCCCAGCTACTCAGGAGGCTGAGGCAGGAGAATCAACCTCCTTGAAGCCGGAGGTTGCAGTGAGCCTAGATCATGCCATTGCCAGCGTGGGCAAGAGTAAAACTCCATCTTAAAAAAAAAAAAAAAAAATACCAGAGATGTTAACATAAAATCGAATCTCTGAACAGAAACCATCAGTGCAGATACAATTTTTTTTTTTTTTTGAGACAATCTCGTTCTGTCACCCAGGCTGGCACGATCTCGGCTCACTGCAACCTCCCGACTTCAAGCGATTCTCCTGCCTCAGCCTCCCAAGTAGCTGGGATTACAGGACCATACCACCACGCCTAGCTAATTTTTGTATTTTTAGTAGAGACAGGGTTTCACTGCATCAGCCAGGCTGGTCTCAAACTCCTGACCTCAGGTGTTCTGCCCGCCTCCTAAAGTGCTGAGATTACAGGCATGAGCCACCATGCCAGGCCCCAATTCCTTTCTAAAGATTTGTCCTATAATTTTTTTTTTTTGAGAGAGTCTTGCTCTATTGGCCAGACTGGACTTCAGTGGTGCCATCTCAGCTCACTGCAACCTCCACCTCCGAAGTTCAAGTGATTCTCCTGCCTTAGCCTCCTGAGTAACTGGGATTACAGGCATGTCCCACCATGCGTGACTAATTTTTGTATTTTTAGTAGAGAGACAATGTTTCACCATGTTGGGCAGGCTGGTCTTGAACTCCTGCCCTCAAGGGATCTGCCTTGCTTCGGCCTCCCAAGGTGATGGGATTATAGGCGTGAGCCACTATGCCAGGCCACGTGTCCTGTGATTTTAGTATTAAAAGGAGGATCACATTGAGCATGTAGCTTCCAATAGCTTCCATTGGGAGTCTGAGCGTACACTGGCCCAGAAGACTACCTGATTTGCAAATCATTCATTAAAAAATAAGTAAATGAATTCCATTTACAACCAATTGCATGCAATTTATGTTACAGTTATAGTTCTAAGAACACAGATTAAGAGAAAACACAGCATGGGGTGACATGGCTCATGCCTGTAATTCTAGCACTTTGGGAGGCCAAGGCAGGCAGATCTCTTGAGCTCAGGAGTTTGAGACCAGCCTAGGCAACACGGCGAGATCCCATCTCTAAAATACATACATACATAAAGAGGAAAAAAAAAACCCGAAAACCAGCTACATTCCCCAAATCCCTATAGAATATTACTACTACTCTACTACTACTTATACTTTTTTCCTACCATCATCTACCCAGGTCTTACCAGTTGTCATTAGCATCATGCTTGGAACTTTTAGAGGAATTAAGTGTTCTCATAACCACCCTACTCAAACCCGGAGGTGGGGGGCGTGTGCATATACACCCACGCACACAGGCAGCCAGCACGGACTTACACCAAGGTCTGCAGTTTACACTCGGGGTACCTCAAGCCCTCACACAGAAACTTCACCCCTGTATTCCCAATGGGGTTCTTGGCCAAGCACAGGTGTGTCAGCTCCCGGCTGACAACCAACACAGCAGCAAGGTCCTTGCAATTGGCTTCTGTAAGGTGACAGTTTTCCAACCTACAAAAGAATCACAAATGGCAACACGGTTGACAGGTCCAACTTCAACCTTCCCGGCTAGCTCCACAAGTGCCAGCATCCAAAAGCCCCTTCTTGTGAACTCCCCACCTTCTATCATGCACTGGTGATCCTATGAAGGAATAGGAATGAGAGAAGAACAAAATTCACAGGCCATCGGCCTGGATCTAAACATGGGAACAGGTGTTCACATCAGCGAGAGGTTCCATACAGCCAAGTCAGGCATGACCATTGCTCGTCTGTGGCCCCAGATCGAAAGCACAGCTGCTCTGTAAGAGAGGAGAGACTTACGACAACCTCTGCAGAAAGCACTTGGGGTGTCTCAAAGTTGTGTACAGCAACTTAGCACCCTCATCCAGAAGCTCATTGTCGGAGAGGTTTACGCACGTCAGGGACTGGTTGACTTCAAGGGCCAAGGAGAGATCAGCCCACTGCTGAGTGGTAGCGGAACAAGACACCAACCTGTGGGAGAAATAGGACCACGTCATTTTTTTTTTTTTTTTGAGACTGAGTCTCACTCTTGTTGCCCAGGTGGCGCAATCTCGGCTCACAGCAACCTCCGCCTCCTGGGTTCAAGTGATTCTCCTGCCTCAGCCTCCCGAGTAGCTGGGACTGCAGGCATGCACCATGCACCAACATGCCCAGCTAATTTTGTATTTTCAGTAGAGGTGGGGGTCTCTCCATGTTGGTCAGGCTGGTCTCAAACTCCCAATCTCAGGTGATCTGCCCACCTCGGCCTCCCAGAGTGCTGGGATGACAGGCGTGAGCCACCGCGCCCGGCAGAACAAGTCATTCTTGAGAATCTAACCGTGGAATCGTCTTTGGTTTACATCTCACTGGTTGTGTTATACCCCGACTTGAATTATCTGGAGCAGCAGTTGTCAAAGGGTGGTCAGACCAGTGGCACCAACATCGCCCAGGAATCAGCTGGAAATACAGAACTTAGTCAATCTGACTCTAATGTTGGATGCAGACTCCGCTAACCTATGTTTCATTGTTTGGTTTTTTGAAAGGGAGTTATTTATGCTCTGTCGCCCTGGCTGGAGTGTAGTGGCGCGATCTCAGCTCACAGCAACCTCTGCCTCCCAGATTCAAGAGATTCTCCCGCCTCAGCCTCCTGAGTAGCTGGGATTACAGGCAAATGCCATCTTGCCTGGCTAATTTTTGTATTTTTTAGTAGAGATGGGGTTTTACCATGTTGGCCAGGCTGGTCTCAAACTCCTAACTTTGGCCGGGGCAATGGCTCATGCCTGTAATCCCAGCACTTTGGGAGGCCGAGGTGGGCAGATCAGGAGGTCAGGAGTTTGAGACCATCCTGGCCAACATGGTGAAACCCCGGCTCTACTAAACATACAAAAGTTAGATGGGCGTGGCGACACGTGCCTGTAGTCCCAGCTACTCAGGAGGCTGAGGCAAGAGAATCACTTGAACCCAGGAGGCGGAGGTTGCAGTAAGCCGAGATCACTCCACTGCACTCTAGCCTGGGCGACAGAGCAAGACTCCGTCTCAAAACAAAAAACTCCTGACTTCAAGCGATACACCAGCCTAGGCCTCCCAAAGTACTGGGATTACAGGCAGGAGCCACCATACCCAGCCCACTAACCTATGTTTCAAGGTGCCCTGTTCATCCGGAAAATGTGTTAGAATAAATTCATAAGAAATGAGTGGCTGGGCACAGTGGCTCATGCCTGTAATCCCAGGACTTTGGCAGGCCAAGGCAGGTGGATCATGAGGCCAGGAGTTTAAGACCAGCCGGAACAACATGATGAAACCCCATTTCTCCTAAAAATACAAGAATTAGCTGGGCGTGGTGGCACATGGCTGTAATCCCAGCATTTTGGAAGATGGATGTCACTTGAGGTCAGGAGTTCGAGACCAGCCCAGCCAACACGGTGAAACCCCGGCTCTACTAAATATACCAAAAATTAGCTGGGTGTGGTGGATTGCCCGAGGTCAGGAGTTTGAGACCACCCTGGCCACCAGCATGGCGTAACCCTGTCTCTACTAGAAATACAAAATACTAGAAATACAAAAATACAGGTGGGTGCCTGTAATCCCAGCTACTTGGGAGGTTGACGGAGAAGAATCACTTGAACCCGGGAGGCAGAGGTTGCAGTGAACCAAGATTGTGGCACTGCACTCCAGCCTAGGAGACAGAGCAAGACTATATCTTGAGAAAAAAAGAAAGAAATTAGTGACCCAAATCTTTAATTCACCCAATATTCCCCCTCACCCTGCATCCCATTATTCTCAGGCAAAAAGAAAAGAGGGTAATTGCAACGGTTAGTAATGATAGCAGCCACTATTGAATGCATGGGCTTGGTTTCATTCAACCTTCCAATACCTGTAAGATGTACAGCATCCTATTCAACTAAGATCCCATTAAGCAGCCTAAGATTGTATCAGTAGAGCCAGAGCAATCAATTTTTTTTCTGTCCTCGAGATGGAGTTTTGCTCTGTTGCCCAGGCTGGAGTGCAATGGCGTGATCTTGGCTCACTGCTACCTCTGCCTCCTAGGTTCAAGCAATTCTCTTGCATCAGCCTCCATGAGTAGCTGGGATTACAGGCACGCGCCACCATGCCCAGCTAATGTTTTTGTATTTTTAGTAGACGTGGGGTTTCACCATGTTGGCCAGGCTGGTCTTGAACTCCTGACCTTGTGATCCACCTGCCTTGGCCTCCCAAAGTGCTGGGATTACAGGCATGAGCTACCGCACCCAGCCAAGATTTTTTTTTTTTTTTTTGAGACAGTCTCACACTGTTGCCCAGACTGGAGTGCGGTGGTGTGATCTCAGCTCACTGCAACCTCCGCCTCTCAGGTTCAAATGATGCTCCTGCCTCAGCCTCCTGAGTAGCTGGGACTACAGGCGTGCGCCAACATGCCCAGCTAATTTTTGTATTATTAGTAGAGACAGAGTTTCACCATGTTGACCAGGCCGGTCTTGAACTCCTGACCTCAAGTGATCCACCCACCTCGGCCTCCCAGGCGTGAGCCACTGCGCCTGGCCCAGGGCAATAATTTGAGGCCAATGACCACCTACTACACCAGTGTGGCCAAGTGAGGCTTCATGGAACCCCATGATGCATGTAGGTTCTCATCGCCTGGGCAGCCACTGGACAGCTTCCCAAGGGGAGAGCTCTCAAACCAGAGGACTAACAGAAAAGGGGCAACTTGATGTTCCTGAAGGGTTCTTGCTTGAAAAATGTCAATAGCTGGTATTCTGAATCATCATACAGGAGAAGCATGAACCATGAGTGAATGATCTCTGATAGAAGATAAAGATTCTGGGCTGGGCACGGTGGCTCATGCCTCACTTTGGGAGGCCGACGGCGGGGTGGGGTGGGGGTGGGGGGGTAGATCACCTGAGGTCATGAGTTCGAGACCAGCCTGGCCAATGTGGTAAAACTCCATCTCTACTAATAATACAAAAATTAACCAGGTGTGGTGGTGTGCACCTGTAATCCCAGCTACTCAGGAGGCTGAGGCAGGAGAATCACTTGAACCTGGGAGGTGGAGGCTGCAGTGACCTGAGATCATACCAACGCACTCCAGCCTGGGTGACAGAGCGAGACTCCATCTCAAAAAGAAAAAAGAAAAAGAAAAAACCAAAACCAAAACCAAAACATAAGGACTCTGGCTGGGCATGGTGGCTCATGCCTATAATCCCAGCACTTTGGGAGCCTGAGGAGGGCAGGTCACCTGAGGTCATGAGTTCGAGACCAGCCTGGCAATGTGGCGAAACCAGCTCCACTAAATGCACAAAAATTAGCCGGGCGTGGTGGCGGGTGCCTGTAATCCCAGCAACTTGGGAGGCTGAGGCAGCAGAATTACTTGAACCCAGGAGACAGAGGTTGCAGTGAGCCAAGATCGTGCCATTGCACTTTGGCCTGGGCAACAGAGCAAGACTTCATAAAAAAAAAAAAAAAGATGATAAAGATTCTGGGAGTTTCTTTGGATTCAGGGTCCTCACGTATGGTTGTCCAGGGTGTTTACTGTTCAAGGCAAGTAGAAACTCAAGTTCAGCCCATGCTGCATCCTGGGTCATCTGCCCTTAGTACTGTTTCTAGTCAGAATAACGAACTTTTTCTTATTTACACAAAATTGCCACATAAGCTTGTGGTAGCTTATGTTTGTATGATGAAGGATTTTAATGATTAAGAGATATACCCGAGATATCGCAGGTTACATTCTGGATGTCTCAAGACCTCACACAATGCGGGAAACATATCATCCTGGTCATTGCCTTGAAGGGTCAGATACGTTACAGTCTTGTGACCTCGAAGAGCTAGGCAGAGGTTCCGATGAGCATCAGCTGGGGAAATGTTTTTGAACCTAGGGAAAAGAGAACGAAAGTGAAATCTTTAGTGTGTACACCTGTATCGTACTTAAATGGAAACCAGGGGCTCGATATATTTAAACTTTAGGAACTATTTTTTCCATGTTTAAATTTTTGTCCATCTTTACAGATTTTTTTTTTCTTTGAGATGGAGTCTCACTCTGTTGCCCAGGCTGGAGTGCAGTGGCGCGATCTCGGCTCACTGCAAAGCAAACTCTGCCTCCCGGATTCAAGCGACTCCTACCCTCAGCATCCGGAGTAGCTGGGATTATAGGCACCTGCCACGACACCTGGCAAATTTTTGTATTTTTCGTAGAGACAGGGTCTTGCACCATCTTGGCCAGGCTGGTCTTGAACTCCTGACCTCAAGTGATCCCCCCACCTTGGGCCCCCAAAGTGCTGGGACTACAGGCGTGAGCCATTGTGCCCGGCCCTTTTTTTCTTTTTCTTTTTTTTTTTTTTTTTTTTTGAGACGCAGTCTCGCTCTGTCACTCAGACTGGAGTCCAGTGGCAGGATCTTGGTTCACTGCAACCTCCGCCTCCTGGGTTCAAGTAATTCTCCTGCCTCAGCCTCCCAAGTAGCTGATATTACAGGTGCCTGCCACCACGCCTGGATAATTTTTGTATTTTTAGTAGAGGCAGGGTTTTGTCACGTTGGCCAGGCTGGTCTCGAACTCCTGACCTCAAGTGATCTGTCTGCCTCGGCCTCCCGAAGTGTTGGAATTACAAGTGTGAACCACCATGCCCAGCCCCTAGAAATTACTTTATACGATTATCCCACAAAATAAATTTAAGGACAGGACTCTCTCAATTCCCTGTGTCTCGAGCACTTAAGAGTCTAGTACAGGAATCTGAATATTGCTCCGATGTTAACATTGTACCATTTTCATACCCTAAGGATTTGAGTTCATGAATTAGTTTCTACTTACACCACTCTCTGGAGATGACAGGTGTCAGAGGCTATTTGTTCACACAGGATCCTTACTAGGGAGGCACTGAGAAAGCTATCATTGATTGCTAGACCCATCAGATCCTTATTTGATCCAAATATGGAACAAAGGTCCGTCCAGAAAGGAAGCATGTGCTGATCATCCTGGGATCTATAGGGAAGAGAAGAAAGGGTTACACCAAATGTGTGTCCATCACGGCTGAAGTATTTAGGGTTTCTCTGGGCATATACCCCTGACAAATGAGTACAATTGAAAGCTGGACCATGTAATCACTTATTAGCACCACCATCAGACAACTCAACACCCAAGAAGCATCACAGGAGAAAGAACCTATTCTTCTTAGACAAAAATCCAATAGAGGGTAAAAATAAGTTAAAATGCTAAGCACATCATTGATAAAAGATAGAGAATATAGACCGGGCACGGTGACTCACGCCTATAATCCTAGCACTTTGTGAGGCTGAGGCGGGTGGATCACCTGAGGTCGGGAGTTCGAGACCTGCCTGGCCAACATGGTGAAACCCCGTCTCTACTAAAAGTACAAAAATTAGCTGGGCATGGTCGTGGGTGGCTGTAATCCCAGCTACTCATGAGGCTGAGGCAGGAGAATCATTGAACCTGGTGGGGCGGAGGTTGCAGTGAGCCGAGATCGAGCCACTTCACTCCGACCTGGGAAAAAGAGTGAAACTCCGTCTCAAAAAAAAAAAAAAAGATTGGGAATATACATATCTATACATATCAATAAGAAATATTCAGGCAGGGCGTGTGGTAACTCATGCCTGTAATCTCAGTGCTTTGGGAGTTCAAGACCAGCCTGGACAACATAGTGAGATTTTGTCTTTCCAAAAAAAAAAAAAAAAAAAAAAACACAAAAAAAAACCCCCACTTAAGTTAGCTGGACATGATGGTGCACACTTAATACCTGTCATCCCAGGTACTCAGGAACATCACTTGAACCCAGAAGTTTGAGGATGCAGTGAGCTGATTTCACCACTGTACTCCAGCCTGAGCAACACAGCAAGACCCTGTCTTAAAAAAATATATTTGGGCCGGGCATGGTGAATCATGCCTGTAATCCCACTTTGGAGGCTGAGGCAGGTGGATCACCTGAGGTCAGGCGGAGTTCAAGACCAGACTGGCCAACATGCTGAGATCCCGTCTCTAATGAAAATATAAAAATTAGCCGGGCAAGGTGGCAGGCGCCTGTAGTCCCAGCTACTCAGGAGGCTGAGGCAGAAGAATCACTTGAACCCGGGAGGCGGAGGTTGCAGGGAGCCAAGATCGCGCCACTGCGCTCCAGCCTGAGCGACAGAGCAAGACTCCATCTCAAAACAAAAACAAACAAAGAGTCCAACAAGAGGGAATTCCTGACCCTAAGCCACAGTGCATAGGAGGCTCTGGCCTCTTCCTAAGGGGGCATGGGATGAGGCTAAAGATGGAACGACTGGTAGAGTGAAACGGTTCTCACCTCTCAACCTCGGCGTCTGATTCAGACGCAGTGACATTCTCCGGGAGATTCTCCTTTATTACCTGCAGTGACATTTTCTGCAGGTTTCGACAGTGCTTGACGCAGAATGAAGATGGCACAACGTCTACTGCATTTAAGTGCAGGGATATTTCTTTGAACTGAGCCATCACCTCCTTCACCAGCTCCTCCTCCTGAGACTCGTACAGACAGCCGAGGAGCTCCTGCAGGTCTGTCACCGTTGAATGTCCACCCTTACAACTTATGTCGCATCGCAGCAATTCCTGTTTGATGTCCGGTGACATCCGGCAGCCAAAAGTGGCCTCCAACTCCTTGGCTCTCTTCTCGTTAGCGAGGCCAAAGGAGTAGTAGCCTGCTTGGATCAGGTCGGGGTTCCTGAGTCTTTCTACTCCGGAAAGCAGCTTCTGTACGTCCCCAATGTCCCAGGTGTGGCCGTCCCTATCCTCTTCCTCCTCCTTCTCCAGGGTGTAGAACAGGGCAGTGAGAAACTGCTGGAAGCTGAGGTGGATGAAGGAGTAGCAGCCTTTGGAGACTCTGTCCTGGCGGAGGATGTCTCCGTCCAGGAACAGACGGAGGTCGGACTCCTGCACCCCGAGCCTTTCCAGATCCTCTCGGTGAAGCACGGACGTCTGCGCCCACAGGCCCTGCGCGGCCAGGAGGCTCAGCGTCCGCAGCGCGCCCCGCAGCTGTGCGCCCTGCGGGAACCGGCTGCAGAGGAAACGCAGGAACAGCCCCGTGCGGGTGAGGCAGGTGGGGACCGGGTCCTCCCCCTTCTCCATCTGCAGCTTCAGAGTCGTGCACACGATCCAGCACACCGCGGGGGCCGAGCCCAGCTGGAACAGGGCCGCGTTGCTCCTCATTAGCTCAAAGGCACGCATGGCTTGGTCCTCGTCTCCAAAGTGTCTCAGGAAATAGGCCCTCCTGTCCTCCTCCAGGAAGCCCTCCACCCTTATGTAGATCGGCTCCTCCGCCAGGATCCGGAGGTCCCTCAGGGCCCTGGGCCGCGTGGTGACCAGCAGGGCGGCCTTGGGTAACATCACCCTGTTCAGCAAACTCCCCAGGAGGACGGGCACCGGCTTCTTCTTCTCCCAGTCCCCGCAGATGTCCTCGATCAGCGCCCCAGGTGCGGCTCCCAGCTCATCAAAGCCGTCAATCACGAACAAGATTTTCCGTGCTTGGGCTAGGATGTGTGGAATGTCATCCTGCAATTCAGGCCAGTCCCTGAAGACCAGCTCTGCAAAACTGCACGGGCCCAGGCGGCTGAGCTCCCTGCAGCTGAGGTAGAACGCATATTTGAATTTGTGGATGAGGTTGTCCTCTGCCCAGTCTAGCATTAGTTTCTGGGCCAGCGTGGTTTTCCCAAGGCCTGCAGGACCATACAGCACCACCGTGTATGAGAAGGGCCCGGGAAGCACCCTGGGGTTGCTGAATGGGATCAGCATCTTGTATCTCTCAGCCATAACCTGGACCTCTTTGCTATCTCCAGGCCAGCTCTTCCACATCTCCCGGAACTTCGTCTTCAATATATACCTGCACCTATTGTCTTTGTCTTTATCATTGGTGAGGAGGGAAGGGAGAGAGGATGCAATCAGTTACCCATAGGGAAAACCAAAATAACAAAATGCCTTGTGTTGGCCGGGCACAGTGGCTCATGCCTGTAATCCCAGCCCTTTGGGAGGTCGAGGCAGGCAGATCACCTGACATTGGGAGTTCAACACCAGCCTGACCAACATGAAGAAACCTTGTCTCTACTAAAAATAAAAAATTAGCCAGTCATGGTGGCGCATGCCTGTAATCCCAGCTACTCGGGAGGCTGAGGCAGGAGAATTGCTTGAACCTGGGAGGCGGAGGTTGCAGTGAGTCGAGATCACGCCACGGCACTCCAGCCTGGGCAACAAGAGCAAAACTCCGTCTCGATACATACATACATAAATAAATGCTTTGTGTTACATAGGAAAGTTAAGAGGACTTCAAGTTTATAAAGAGAAATCTGATCCCAAGCTCCCTGCAGGAAGATATGGTACAGACCTGGCTTTTTTCCTTTAAAGACTTCTTTACCCAGGCAGATGACATTTCCTTTCGTTTCTGTAAACGCTACAAAATACAAACTCATGTGAGATTGACACAAAATCAGGTGTATTTCCTGTGGAGTCCCAATTAGAGAAAAGGAGGCAGGCTGATGGGGCGGGGGGGAGGGGGGGCACGGGATCAGATAAAGCAAATAAGCTACAAATGTGTTTTCCGGCCAGGTGTGGTGGCTCATGCCTATAATCCCAGAACTTTGGGAGGCTGAGGTGGGGTGGATCACTTGAGCTCAGGAGTTCGAGACCAGCCTGGCCAACACAGAAACCCCATCTCTACTAAAAATGCAAAAATTAGCCAGGCGTGGTGGCGCATGCCTGTAATCTCAGCTACTTGGGAGGCCAAGAGGCTCGAGAATTGCTTGAACCTGGGAGATGGAGGTTGTAGTAAGAGATCGCACTACTGCACTCCACCCTGGGCAACAGAGCAAGACTCCATCTCAATAAAATAAATAAATAAGCTTTCCTCCATGGTTCAGGGCATACAAACAAGAGGAAACAGGTCAGCTATAGGTCTGTTTGAGACAGTCTCACTCTGTTGCCCAGGCTGGAGTGCAGTGGCGCAATCTCAGCTCACTGCAACCTCCGCCTCCCGGGTTCAAGCGATTCTCCTGCCTCAGCTTCCCAAGTAACTGGAATTACAGGCATGTGCCACTGCGTCTAGGCTAATTTTTGTATTTTTAGTAGAGATGGGGTTTCGCCATGTTGGCCAGGCCAGTCTAAAACTGCTGACCTCAGATGATCCACCCACCTCAGCCTCCCAAAGTGCTGGGATTGCAGGCATGAACCACTGCACTGGGCCAGGTCTGCTTTTATGGTCCAGGAGATACGGCCCAAGATGTTTGGCCTTCCTGGCCAGATCACACACAGAGCTCACAAACTCCCTGTTTGCCATGAAACGCCTCAGTTTATCAAACACTTCTGCTGAAAGAAGACCGCAAGTTAAACCCCCTGTTGACATTATCAATCAGCCCAAGCCCTATTCTATAAAATCTGCAGGAAGCTTTGGTCTCCTGGCAGTGAGCTACTCATGACAACCTGCCCGCTGGGGTCTCTCTGCCAATGTCTTTTCCTACTTTCTCCAATAAATCTGCCTTCCTTTACCTACGATTGTCTTCATAAATTTCTTTACCCGCGGCTGGGCGCGGTGGCTCACGCCTGTAATCCCAGCACTTTGGGAGGCCAAGGCGGGTGGATCATAAGGTCAGGAGATCGAGACCATCCTGGCTAACACGGTGAAACCCTGTCTCTACTACAAATACAAAAAATTAGCCGGGCGTGTGGCGGGCGCCTGTAGTCCCAGCTACTGGGGAGGCTGAGGCAGAATGGCGTGAACCCGGGAGATGGAGCTTGCAGTGAGCCGAGATTGCGCCACTGCACTCCAGCTTGGGTGACAGAGCAAGACTGTCTCAAAAAAAAAAACAAAACAAAACATTTCTTTACCTGCCATGCCACCAGGCACTATTCACCCACATTTCCTGCTGAAGCATGATGATAGAGCAGGCACCACAGTACCCCAAGTCGCACCGAAATTCTTTGTCAAGATTGTGTGCTAGGCTGGGCACAGTGGCTCACGCCTGTCATCCCAGCACTTTGGGAGGCTGAGGCGGACGGATCACGAGGTTAGGAGATCCAGACCATCCTGACTAACACGGTGAAACCCTGTCTCTACTAAAATACAAAAAATTAGCTGGGCGTGGTGGCACACACCTGTACTCCCAGCTATTTGGGAGGCTGAGGCAGGAGAATCGCTTGAACCTGGGTAGCAGAGGTTGCAGTGGGCCAAGATTGCACCACTGCACTCCAGTCTGGGCAACAGAGTGAGACTCCATCTCAAGAAAAAAAAAGATTGTGTGCCAGGAATGACATTGGCCGTGTCTAGAGAGATGAACAGGGCAAACAATTCCTTCAACCAAGTTACTCACCTCTATTATACAGAGCCATAGCAAGAAATACTTGCTGTATCAAAAGTCAATGTGGGCTAGGTACGGTGGCTCATGCCTGTAATCCCAGCACTTTGGGAGGCCGAAGTGGGTGGATCACCTGAGGTCAGGAGTTCAAGACCAGCCTGCCCAACATGGTGAAACCCTGTCTACTAAAAATAAAACTAACAAATGCAAAAATTAGCCAGATGTGGTGGTGGGCGCCTATGATCCCAGCTACTCGGGAGGCTGAGGCAGAATCACTTGAACCTGGGAGGTGGAGGTTGTGGCGAGCCGAGATCACACCATTGCACTCTAGCCTGGGCGACAAGGGCAAAACTCTTTCTCAAGAAAAAACAAAAATGCTACCAGGAAGATAAGAGGGAATGTGGAGTAAGCAAGGCTGATCTGAAACTGATCACAGGCTAGGTGCGGTGGTTCACAGCTGTAATCCCAGCACTTTAGGAGACCGAGGTAGGTGGATCACTTGAGGTCAGGAGTTCTAGACCAACCTGGCTACCCTGTTGAAACCCCATCTGTACTAAAAACACAAAAGTTAGCCAGGCATAGTGGTGGGCACCTATAGTCCCAGCACCTGGGGAGGCTGTGGCAGGAAGACCCCTTGAACCCAGGAGGCAGAGATTGCAGTGAGCCAAGATGGGGCCACTGCACTCCAGCCTGCATGACAGAGTGAGACTCTATTTCAAAAACAAAAAAAACAGAAAAAACCTATCACAAAGTCAGCTCAGGCAAGTCACCTACCCAAAAGACTCAATTTTCTCTGTAAGTTGTTTATATTAAAGTTGTCTGAGCAATGTACCATAAATACATTTATGCCTGTCAATTTTTTTTTTTTTTTTTTAAGATGGAGTCTCGCACTGTTGCCAGGCTGGAGTGCAGTGGCACAATCTTGGCTCACTGCAACCTCCACCTCCCGGGTTCAAGCGATTCTCCTGCCTCAGCCTCCTGAGTAGCTGGGACTACAGGCGGGTGCCACCACACCCGGCTAATTTTTGTGTTTTTAGTAGAGTTGGGTTTCACCATGTTGGCCAGGATGGTCTCGATCTCTTGATCCACCCGCCTCAGCCTCCCAAAGTGCTGGGAGATTATAGGTGAGAGCCACCACACCTGGCCACCTGTCAACTTTTAAATAATTTAAAGAAGGCCGGGTACGGTGGCTCTCGCCTGTAATCCCAGCACTTCGGGAGACTTGGGGGTGGGTGGAGCAGATCTCTTGAGGTCAGGAGTTTGAGACCACCCTGAATGAGATGGTGAAACCTGTCTCTACTAAAAGTACAAAAAAAAATTAGCTGGGCGTGGTGGCATGCACCTGTAGTCCCAGCTACTCAGGAGGCTGAGACAGGACAATCACTTGAATCTGGGAGGCGGAGGTTGCAGTGAACAGGGATGGTGCCACTATACTCCAGCCTGGGTGACAAGAACAAGACTTCGTCTCAAAAAAAAAAAAAAAAATTAGCTGGGTGTGGTGGCAGGTGCCTATAATCCCAGCTACTCAGGAGGCTGAGTCAGGAGAATCAGGAGAATCGCTTGAACCTGGGAGGTGGAGGTTACAGTGAGCCGAGATCGCGCCATTGCATTCCAACCTGGCCAACAGAGAAACTGTCTCAAAACAAAAACAAAAACAAAAACTCTCTGCGCTGTGCTCCTAACTTTCTACAAACTGAGTTCTAATTCTCTGCAACGTTCGTTCTTCCCTCTATTCTTACGGAAGGGAGGTTGGCATTCTCCAGGAGACAGTGGGCACATTAAGAATAGTGGAGGAAAAGATTGGAGAGAGATGGGGTTCTTCAAAGGAACAGGAGATAGCAGCAAGAACGGGGGGCTTCCTCAGCTGACTCCAACATTGGAGGTCCTGACACCCACCTTGTGCTTCTGTTTTGAAGCGCTCCAGCATTTCGTCCACGTCTAGAGGTGGTCGTTCTTTCCGTGTTATCCCTGGAGAAAAAGGGCGGCATTACAGGCCTGTTGCTGTGCTGGCAGTGGGACTCCAAGATGGCTCAAGTTGGACCCCTGAGTCTCAGTAGTGAAGCCTAGATTAGGTACTAAAAAGGACGTTGATAAGGTACTGGATGTAAAAGTGAAAGTACATTAGGCCATGATCCCAGGTTTATGTGCCTTTCTGGTGAGAATTCCTAAGTAGTTCAGAACACATGGTGTGAAAGACACACACACACACACACACACACACACACACACACAAACTACTCACGCATAAGGCCACTGGAAAGGCTTTGAGGATTAACTGCCTAGTTTTTCTTTTTTTTTGAGATGTAGTTTTGCTCTTGTTGCCCAGGCTGGAATGCAATGGTGTGATGTCGGCTCACTGCAACCTCCGCCTCCTGGGTTCAAGTGATTCTCCTGCCTCGGCCTCCGGAGTAGCTGGGATTACAGGAATGTGCCACCATACCTGGCTAATTTTGTATTTTTAGTACAGACAGGGTTTCTCTACGTTGGTCAGGCTGGTCTCGAACTCCCAACCTCAGGTGATCTGCCTGCCAGGCCTAACCCCCTAGTTTCTGATGAGGTAGATAAATTTAAAATGAACTGGGAAAGAATGTAAGAACAAGGTGGAATCAGCCGGGCATGGTGGCTCATGCCTGTAACCCAACACTTTGGGAGGCCAAGGCAGGCGGATCATGAGGTCAGGAGATCGAGACCATCCCGGCCAACATGGTGAAGCCCCGTCTCTACTAAAACAAAAAATTAGCCGGGCATGGTGGTGTGTTACCTGTAAGTCCCAGCTACTTGCGAGGCTGAGGCAAGGGAATTGCTTGAACCCAGGAGGCGGAGATTGCAGTGAGCCAAGATCGCTCCACTGCACTTCAGCCTGGCAAAAGAGCAAGCGAGACTCCGTATCAAAAAAAAAAAAAAAAAGAGAGAGAACAAGGTGGAATCCTAATAACAATATCTGCAGCTTAACCCTGGATAATGAAGAGGTGAGTCCATGGAACTCCTGAAAAGATGCTGGGGAGGGAACTGGACACGGGCATGTGAAATTCAGGACAAAGGCTGATCTGAGAAGAGCCTTTAGAGTCTTCACCACCAGGTGAGGTGGCTCATGCCTGTAATCCCAGTACTTTGTGAGGCTGAGGCAGACAGTTCATTTGAGGTCAGCAGTTTGAGACCAGCCTGGCCAACATGGTGAAACCCTGTCTCTACTAAAAATACAAAAATTAGCCAGACGTGGTGGTAGGCGCCTGTAATCCCAGCTACTTGGGAGGCTAAGGCAGGAGAATCACTTGAACCTGGGAGGCGGAGGCTGCAGTGAGATTGTACCACTGCACTCCAGCCTGGGTGACAGAGCAAGACTCTGTCTCAAAAAAGGTCTTCATGAGACCAGGCGCAGTGACTCACACCTGTAATCCCAACACTTTGGGAGGCTGAGGCACGTGGATCACGAGGTCAGGAGTTCAAGACCAGCCTGGCCAACATGGTGAAACCCCATCTCTACTAAAATTACAAAAATTAGCTGGGCTTGGTGGCAGACACCTATAATCCCAGCTACTCGGGAGGCTGAGGCAAGAGAATCACTTGAACCGGGAGGCGGAGGTCAGAGGTTGCAGTGAGCTGAGATCATGCCACTGCATTCCATCCTGGGCAACAGAGTGAGACTTTGTCCAAAAAAAAAAAGTCTTCATGGCCAGGTGTGGTGAATCATGTCTGTAATCCCAGCACTTTGGGAGGCCAAGGTGGGAGGATCACTTGAGACCAGGAGTTTGACACCATATCTGGCAACATAGTGAAACTGTCCCTACCAAAAATACAAATATTAGTCAGGTGTGGCAGTGCACACCTGTAGTCCCAGCTACTCAGGAGGCTGAGGTAAGAGGATCTCTGGAGCCTGGAAGGTTGAGGCTGCAATGAGCTATGACTGTGCCACTGCAATCAAGCCGGAGCAACACAGCAAGACCCCATCTCAAAACACAATCTTCAGGGGCCGGGCGCGGTGGCTCACGCCTGTAATCCCAGCACTTTGGGAGGCCGAGGCGGGCGGATCACAAGGTCAGGAGATCGAGACCATCCTGGCTAACACGGTGAAACCCCGTCTCTACTAAAAACACAAAAAAATTAGCCAGGCGTGGTGGTGGGCGCCTGTAGTCCCAGCTACTCGGGAGGCTGAGGCAGGAGAATGGCATGAACCCGGGAGGCGGAGCTTGCAGTGAGCCGAGATCACGCCACTGCACTCCAGCCTGGGCAACAGAGAGAGACTCTATCTCAAAAAAAAAAAAAATAATAATAATCTTCAGGATATAAGTAGCTGGTAAGGGCCAGGTGTCATGGCTCACACCTGTACCCCAGCAGTTTGGGAGGGTGAGGCAGGAGGACTGATTGAGTTTAGTAATTCGAGGCCAGCCTGGGCAACATAGCAAGACCCTGTCTCTACAAAAAGTGAAAAAAATTAGCCAGGCATGGTGGCAAGTGCCTGTGGTCCCAGCTACTCAGGAGGCTGAGGCAGGAGGATCACCAGAGCTTGGGAGGTCAAGGCTGCAGTGAACCATGATTGCACCACTCCAGCCTAAGTGACAGAGTGAAGCCCTGTTTCAAAAAAAAAAAAAAAAAAAAAAAAAAAAAAAAAAAAACAAAACCGGGTGTGGTGGTGGCTCATGCCCATAATCCCAGCATTTTGGGACGCTGAGGTGGGCAGATCACTTGAGGTCAGGAGTTCAAGACCAGCCTGGCCATCATGGTGAAACCCCATCTCTACAAACACCACAAAAAATTAGCCGGGCCTGGTGGCAGGTACCTGTAATCCCAGCTATTCTAGAGGCTGAGGCAGGAGAACTGCTTGAACCCAGGAGGTAGAGGTTGCAGTCAGCCGAGGTCGTACCACTGCACTTCAGCCTAGGTGACAGAGCAAGCCTCCATCTCAAAAAAGAAAAGTCTCTACCTTATCCAGATTCAAAGGCCAAGCTTACCCTTCCCCGCTTTGTATGTATTTATAGATTTCCAACAAACGCGATCGTGTTTCAGCTTCCCAGGTCTTACTGCTACGCACCTGCGAGACCAGCTCCGCCCTGGGAGCAGGGATGCTAAGTCCGGCATTTCTTTGCATTCTTAGTGCTCAGCACATTCTCCTTAAAACAAAGGCCCGAGTCCCCAGATCTCACATGAAGAATAAAAGTTATAAATGAGGTAACTTACCTAATGATAGAGGCTTCCTTTTATTAAAGGATTTCAAAGCTGCTTCTGAAAAAGGAGAAGGGGGGAAAATTTTGCATTTTACCATAAGCTCAAGATTTTATTGCCTTCATAAAAGAAAAGATGACACTTAGAACTGGATCACTTGTTCCTTTCTCTTATCTCCTTCCAGTTCAAAATGCTTGCATCTTTTTTTTTTGAGACAGAGTGTCACTCTGTTGCCCAGGCTGGAGTGGCACAATCTTGGCTCACTGCAACCTCTGCCTCCCAGGTTCAAGCGATTCTCCTGCCTCAGCTTCCTGAGTAGCTGGGACTATAGGCATACACCACCATGCCCAGCTAAGTTTTGTATTTTTAGTAGAGATGGGGTTTCACCATTTTGGCCAGGCTGGTCTCAGACTCCTGACCTTGTGATCCGCCCACCTCGGCCTCCCAAAGTGTTGGGATTACAGGCGTGAGCCACCGCGCTTGGCTGCTTGTATCTTTTAATAGCCAGCATTCTTAGATCTGCAGTTGGGCTCAAGGCACTCAAGCCTTAGCACAATCTTCTTTGTAGTTTTAGCCTTTTTCCGGAAAATCGGCTTAGTCTGCCCACCATAGCCACTCTGCTTCCTGTCATAACACTACTTCCCCTGGGCATACCAAGAATCCTTGCCTTGTGTCACTTTGTGGGGGTGGTGCTTGCCACACTTCTTACAGAAAGTCCGGCGGGTTTCAGGAACATTCACCATGTCTGTGTGAGCGCTATTGGCATGGAAAGAAAATTTGTATCTTTTTCAGAGCCCAGACCTTCGTAAGTTTACAACTCTCTGGGTTTCCTCCTGCCGTTTTCAAACTTGTAACCTCCGGAGGTCAGCTAAAGTTAAAAACCCTTGGCCGGGCATGGTTGCTCACACCTGTAATCCCAGCACTCTGGGAGGCTGAGGTGGGCAGATCACCTGAGGTCGGGAGTTCGAGACCAGTCTGGTCAACATGGTAAAACCCTGTCTCTACTAAAATACAAAAATTAGCGGGCATGGTGGTAGGCGCCTGTAATCCCAGCTACTCTGGAGGCTGAGGCAGGAGAATCACTTAAACCTGGGAGGAGGAGGTCACAGTGAGCCGAGATCGCGCCATTGCACTCTAGCCTGGGAGACAAGAGTGAAACTTCGACTCAAAAGCAAAACCAAAATCCAAACCAAACCAAAAAAAAAAAAAAAAAAACCCTCACCCATTGTTAAAGACAGGAAACATTATGCTAAAAAGTGATCTCTAGCTGAAATAAAACTGGCAATTTTTAAATAAAAAGATAGGAGTTCCTTAAGGTTGAGGAGTATTCCATTGTGTAATTAATACCATGTTTGTTTGTTTTTTTTTTTTGAGATGGAGTCTTGCTGTCACCCAGGCTGGAGCGCAGTGGCACGATCTTGGCTCACTGCAACCTCTGACTCTCTGGTTCAAGCAATCCTCCTGCCTCAGCCTCCCAAGTAGCTGGGACTACAGGAGTGTGCCACCACGCCCGGCTGATTTTTTTATATTTTTAGTAGAGACAGGGTTTCACCACATTGGCCTGACTGGTCTCAAACTCCTGGCCTCAAGTGATCCACCCGCCTTGGCCTCCCAAAGTGCTGTGATTACAGGCGTGAGCCACTGTGCCCGGCCTACCATGTTTCCTTTTTAAGGCTTGGGGTCCCAACAATCTCATAACCCAGGCAGTAGGCAGGGTACCCAACGGGCACATTTTTTATTCATCCACTGATGGTCACTTAGACTGACTCTATATCTTGGTTACTGTAAATAAAGCTGCACTGGCCAGGCACTGTGGCTCATGTTTCTGATCCCAGGACTGTGGGAAGCCAAGGCAGGAGGATCGGTTGAGCCCACAGAAGTTCGAGACCAGCCTGGGCAACATGGTGAAACCCTATCTCTACAAAAATATATATATATACAAGAATGAGCGAGGTGTGGTGGGAGGCCATAGTGGTAGGATTGCTCAAGTCTGGGAGGTCAAGGCTGCAGTGAGCTGTGATTGCCCCATTGTACTCCAGCCTGAGCAAGAAAACGAGACCCCGTTTCAAAAAAAAGTGTAGCTGGGCATGGCGGCTCACACCTGTAATTCCAGCACATTGGGAGGCTGAGGCGGGTTGATCACGTGGTCAGGAGTTCAAGACCAGCCTGGCCAACATAGTGAAACCCCATCTCTATTAAAATACAAAATTTAGCCAGGCACAGTGGCAGGTGCCTGTATAATCCTAGCTATTCAAGAGGCTGATGCAGGAGAAACACTTGAACCCAGGGGGCGGGAGTTGCAATAAGCTGAGATTGTGCTGCTGCACTCCATCCTGGGTGACAGAGTGAGACTTGTCTCAAACAAACAAAAAAAAAAGTTATGGGGTAGAAAGTAGAGTAGTTCTAAATGCACTTGCTGGCTGGGTGCGGTGGCTCACGCCTGTAATCCCAACACTTTGGGAGGCCGAGGCGGGCAGATCATGAGGTCACGACATCGAGACTATCCTGGCTAACATGGTGAAACCCCATCTCTATTTAGAATACAAAAAAAAAAAAAAAAAAAATCAGCCAGGCATGGTGGGACATGCTTGTAATCCCGGCTACTCGGGAGGCTGAGGCAGGAGAATCGCTTGAACCCGGGAGGCGGAGGTTGCAGTGAGCCGAGATCGTGCTGCTAAATTCCAGCCTGGGTGACAGAGTGAGATCCTCTCTCAAGAAGAGTTAAATAACCATAGTTCATGTGCATTTTATTGTATTGTTATTTTTAATTGTCTTTGCCCCCATTATTTTTGATCTAGGATTGGTTAAATCCACAGATATGTTAGGCCAACTGTACGATACCTGAAAGCGATAGAAATAGGTAGAAAATAATTTACAAGAAAAAAACAAACAACCCCATCAAAAAGTGGGCGAACGACATGAACAGACACTTCTCAAAAGAAGACATTTATGCAGCCAAAAAACACATGAAAAAATGCTCATCATCACTGGCCATCAGAGAAATGCAAATCAAAACCACTATGAGATATCATCTCACACCAGTTAGAATGGCGATCATTAAAAAGTCAGGAAACAACAGGTGCTGGAGAGGATGTGGAGAAATAGGAACACTTTCACACTGTTGGTGGGACTGTAAACTAGTTCAACCATTGTGGAAGTCGGTGTGGGGATTCCTCAGGGATCTAGAACTAGAAATACCATTTGACCCAGCCATCCCATTACTGGGTATATACCCAAATGACTATAAATCATGCTGCTATAAAGACACATGCACACGTATGTTTATTGCAGCATTATTCACAATAGCAAAGACTTGGAACCAACCCAAATGTCCAACAATGATAGACTGGATTAAGAAAATGTGGCACATATATACCATGGAATACAATGCAGCCATAAAAAATGATGAGTTCATGTCCTTTGTAGGGACATGGATGAAATTGGAAACCATCATTCTCAGTAAACTATCACAAGAACAAAAAACCAAACACCGCATATTCTCACTCATAGGTGGGAATTGAACAATGAGATCACATGGACACAGGAAGGGGAACATCACACTCTGGGGACTGTGGTGGGGTGGGGGGAGGGGGGAGGGATAGCATTGGGAGATATACCTAATGCTAGATGACGAGTTAGTGGGTGCAGCGCACCAGCATGGCACATGTATACATATGTAACTAACCTGCACAATGTGCACATGTACCCTAAAACTTAAAGTATAATAAAAAAAATAATAATAATAAAATAAAAAATAAAAAAATAAAAGGACAAAAAAAAAAAAAAAAAGAAGTAGGTAGAAAATAAGGACCAGGACAGACACCAGGGTTTATGAAGATCCAGCACCTGCATTCAGAACAAGCAGTCCCTCTCCAAGCCTCAATGCCATTTCTTTTTTTTTTTGAGACAGAATTTTGCTCTTGTTGCCCAGGCTGGGGTGCAATGGCGTGATCTCGGCTCATAGCAACCCCCGCCTCCTAGATTTAAGTGATTCTCCTGCCTCAGCCTCCCGGAGTAGCTGGGATTACAGGTGTCTGCCACCACGTCCAGCAAATTTTTGTATTTTTAGTAGAGATGCTGTTTCATCACCATGTTGGTCAGGCTGGTCTCAAACTCCTGACCCTCAGGTGGTCCAACCGCCTCAGCCTCCCAAAGGGCTGGGACGACAGGCGTGAGCCAGCGCGCCTGGCCTTCTGAATTTCTAAAGTCCTGGAGAGGACGCCTGCTTCCTCCTAGGACACAGTGTGGACCGATTTCCACTCACCTCTGACTTCATCCTTTGCTCTCTCAGACAGATCCATTCGGTGCATCTTTTCAAAGACCTGGAGGCTCGCCATCTCCACCCAGTAGCTGTCACAATGGGTGGTGAGGATTTCTACCAGTTGCTTCCCATCAGCCTTGTCTACCTCCTTGTGGGGGATCTTCTGGAGCTCGTGTGCCAGGGAGAAGGTCGTGATCAGATACTTGAACTTGCTCAACTCATCCTGGCTGAGCTGCTCCAGGAGAGCCTGCAGGTTGAAGCCCATCTGCGCCGAAGACACCATCTTGTCCCACGTGGGAGCTGTGATGACAATCAAGGGAGGAGTGGAGAGGGATGGTGATTAGCACTCCTGTCTCAAATGCCAGTTCCTGCTGTGCCACGAACAAGGACACTCACCATCTACCCTGCTTCTTCAAGAACAAACTCCCAGCCTGGGCAACATAGTGAGACCCCCATCTCCATGAAAAATAAGTTAGCAGTGGGTGGTGGTACATGCCTGTAGTCCCAGCTACTCAGGAGGCTGCAGTGGGAGGATTGCTTGAGCCTGGGAGACTGAAACTGCAGTGAGCCTTGATTGTGCCACTGCACTCCCATCTGGGCAACAGAGCAAGACCTCAACTCATTTTACTTTTATTTACTTATTTTTGAGATAGTTTCACTCTGCAGCCCAGGCTGGAGTACAGTAGTACGATCTCAGCTCACTGCAACCTCTGCCTCCCAGGTTCAAACAGTTCTCCTGCCTCAGCCTCCCGACTAGCTGGGATTATGGGCACCCACCACCACGCTCAGCTACTTTTTGTATTTTTTTTTTTTTTTTTTTTGAGACGGAGTCTCACTTTGTCACCCTGGCTGGAGTGCAGTGCTGCAATCTCGGCTCACTACAACCTCTGCCTCCCGGATTCAAGCAATTCTCCTGCCTCAGCCTCCCAAGTAGCTGGGATTACAGGCATTCACCACTGTGCCCAGCTAATTTTTTTGTATTTTTAGTAGAGATGGGGGGTTTCACCAAGTTGGCCAGGCTGGTCTCGAACTCCTGACCTCGTGATTCACCTGCCTCAGTGCCCAGCTAGTTTTTCTAATTGCAAAATAACCAGCTACTGTCAGGGTTTTCCCTGAGGGGCTGCTCAGGTTCTAAAAGTTAACCTATAAAGCGAAAACACTCTCTCATTATAGCAAAGTAGTAACACAACAATGAAAGGACAAGCATAGATCAGATAAGGAAGTGGGGAGCTACGTGGATCACCCAGGAGACAAGAAACTTCGTGAAAACTGGGCTGAATATGATAATGCAAACACACAGCCGGGCGCGGTGGCTCACGCCTGCAATCCCAGCACTTTGGGAGGCCGAGGCGGGCGGATCGTGAGGTCAGGAGATCGAGACCATCCTGGCTAACACAGTGAAACCCCGTCTCTACTAAAAATACAAAAAATTAGCCGGGCGTGGTGGCAGGTGCCTGTAGTTCCAGCTACTTGGGAGGCTGAGGCAGGAGAATCGCTTGAACCTGGGAGTGGGAGGCAGAGGTTGTGGTGAGCTGACATGGCGCCACTGCACTCCAGCCTGGGGCGACAAGAGTGAAACTGTCTCAAAAAAAAAAAAGGCTTAAAGATAACTTAGTGGTGGAGCCTGGTCTCAGGACACAGGTGTGTGGCTTTTACTTTACTGAAGCTGGCCGGGGGGCCATGGCTCACACCTGGAACCCCAAACACTTTGGGAAGCCAAGGTGGGAGGATTGCTTGGAGTTTGAGACCAGCCTGGGCAACATGGCAAAACCCTGTCTCTACAAAAAAATACAAAAAAAAAAAAAATTGTGCTGGGCATAGTGGCATGCACCTGTAGTCCCAGCTACTGAGGAGGCTGAGGTGGGAGGATCACCTGAGCCAGGGAAGTTAAGGCTGCAGTGAGCTGTGATCGCACCACTGCACTCCAGCCTGGTAAAACAAACAAAAACACAACACTGGGGGTGGTGGCTGACGCTTGCAATCCCCGCACTTTGGGAAGCTCAGGTGGGTGATCACTCCAGTCCAGAAGTTCCAGACCAGCCTGGCAACTTAAGACCCTGTCTCTATTTTAAAAACAACAGGGCCGGGTGCGGTGGCTCACGCCTGTAATCACAGCACTTTGGGAGTCCAAGGTGGGAGGATCACCTGAGGTCTGGAGCTTGAGACCAGCCTGGCCAACATAGTGAAACCCTATATCGACTAAAAATACGAAAATTAGCCAGGTTGGTGACAGGCGGCTGTAGTCCCAGCTACTTAGAAGGCTGAGGCACGAGAATTGCTTGAACCTGGGAGGTGGAAGTTGCAGTGAGCTGAGATAGCGCCACTGTACTCCAGCCTGGGAAACAGAGCTAGACTTTGTCTCAAAAAAAAAAAAAAAAAAATAGCAGTAGCAACAAAAACTTTACAGAAAGGGTATAACACCTCTTTATATGATAGCTGTGAATAGCGTGAGAATGGCAACTGGCATAGGTATTTGCATAAGACTCAGGTCCGGAAGCTGGACTAGAATGATGCTAAGAGGCTCCCTCACCTCAGTGAATAAAAAACAATACCTTCTTGTTAAGAGGACTCATTAGACACAAAACCTTAGCACTGCCCAGGACTCCACACACAGCAACCACAGCATCTGACCTGTTCCAATATATTTTTTTTTTTGGAGCTCTCTATAGCTCTATCCTAAATCCCCCAAGAGAACAGAAATAAAAGCACACACAACTATCCTCTTATGAGCCAACCTTAACTAGAGTCTCTCTAGATCTAAGCATCTGCTACTCTTTCCCCAGTCAGAACCACTGAATTTTATTTTATTTTATTTTTTGAGACAGTTTCTCTCTTGCTGCGCAGGCTGGAGAGCAATGGTATGATCTAGGCTCCCCGCAACCTCCGCTTCCCGGGTTCAAGTGATTCTCCTGCCTCAGCCTCCTGAGTAGCTAGGATTACAAGTATGCGCTACCACGCCCACCTAATTTTATATTTTTAGTAGAGATGGGGTTTCTACATGTTGGTCAGGCTGGTCTCGAACTCCCGACCTCAGGTGATCCTCCCGCCTCGGCCTCCCAAAGCGCTGCGATTACAGGCGTGAGCCACTGAGACAGGCAGAACCACTTAATTTCTAACAGAAGAAAAGATTTAGGCCGGGCGCGGTGGCACCTGCCTATAATCCCAGAATTTTGGGAGTCTGAGGCAGGAAGATCGCTTGAGCCCAGGAGTTAGAGACCAGCTTCGGCAACATATTAAGACCCTACATCTAGTGAGTCTCTGCAAACAGTGGTAATAATAATATTATTAGCCAGAACAGATGTGGTGGCACCCTCCCACGGTCCCAGCTACTTCAAAGGCTGAGGCGTGAGGACTGCTTGAACCTGAGAGGTCAAGGGTTCAGTGAGCCGAGATCCTGCCACAGCGCTCCAGCCTGGGAAACAGAGTAAGACCCTCAAAAAAGAGAAGAAAAAAAAAAAAAAAAAAAAAAAAAAGGCTGGGCGCGGTGGCTCACGCCTGTAATCCCGGCACCTTGGGAGGCCGAGGCGGACTGAGACCAGCCTGGCCAACATGGTGAAACCCCGTCTCTACTAAAAATACAAAAAAATTAGCTGGGCATAGTGGCAGGTGCCTGTAGTCTCAGCTACTCGGGAGGCTGAGGCAGGAGAATGGCCTGAACCCGGGAGGCGGAGCTTGCAGTGAGCCGAGATCGCGCCACCGCACTCCAGCCTGGGCGACAGAGCGAGACTCCGTCTCAGAAAAAAAATATATGAAATAAAAGGAGAAATTTTACCAACTGTGGAATGGAGAAATAAAGAAATGAAGTTGCAGAGCTGCCGGAGAGCTACTCACCTCCCAACACCTGGCCCTACTCGCCGGCGGAGATGAGGGCTGCAGGTTGAGAAAGCTCTAATAAGGCTTCTCTCTCGGCCGCAGCCCTGTGATTGGCCCTCGGGGCGTAATCGTTGCTGAGCACTTCCTGTATCCACCGGAATTACTGAGAGGTCTTTTGGGGGCGGGGGGTGTTGGGGGGCGGTCCTTCACCTGAGCTTCCGGATCTCCACCTGTGGTCCTCCATCTTGACTGCCTGTTAAACTTACCTATGTGGAGCCTCATTTCAAAGCACGAACGCCTAGAGATTCTGCTTGATTGGTTACACTGGGACTGCCCAGACCCTGGAGTTCTTTCGAGAGTCCCAGATAACTGTGATTGCGGCCGAGGCTGAGAATCACCGCTTAGAAGCCTCAGCTGTGATTGGCTACCTTCTCCCATCACCCCAGGTATATTATTAATAAAAATCCAACCGTATTTCAAGTGAAATATCAATGACACGTCAACTATGAGACGCATGAAAAGCACCAAGTTCATCAGTTTCACATTCACAGTATTATTATTATTTTATTTTTAATGGAGTCTTGCTCTGTTCCCCAGGCTGGAGTGCAACGGCACGATCTCGGCTCCCCGCAGCCTCCGCCTGCCGGCTTCAAGTGATTCCCCTGCCTCAGCCTCCCGAGTAGCTGAGATTACAAGCATGCGCCACAACGCCTGGTTAATTTTTGTATTTTTTTCAATAGAGACGGGGTTTTGCCATGCTGGCCAGGCTGGTCTCAAACTCCCGACCTCAGGTGATCTGCCAGCCTCAGCCTCCTAAAGTGCTGGGATTACAGGCGTGAGCCACCTACTAAAAATACAAAAAATTAGCCGGGCGTGGTGGCGGGCGCCTGTAGTCCCAGCTACTCGGGAGGCTGAGGCAGGAGAATGGCGTGAACCCGGGAGGCGGAGCTTGCAGTGAGCAGAGATCGCGCCACTGCACTCCAGCCTGGGCGACAGAGCGAGACTCCGTCTCAGAAAAAAAATATATGAAATAAAAGGAGAAATTTTACCAACTGTGGAATGGAGAAATAAAGAAATGAAGTTGCAGAGCTGCCGGAGAGCTACTCACCTCCCAACACCTGGCCCTACTCGCCGGCGGAGATGAGGGCTGCAGGTTGAGAAAGCTCTATTAAGGCTTCTTTCTCGGCCGCAGCCCTGTGATTGGCCCTCGGGGCGTAATCGTTGCTGAGCACTTCCTGTATCCACCGGAATTACTGAGAGGTCTTTTGGGGGCGGGGGGTGTTGGGGGGCGGTCCTTCACCTGAGCTTCCCGATCTCCACCTGTGGTCCTCCATCTTGACTGCCTGTTAAACTTACCTATGTGGAGCCTCATTTCAAAGCACGAACGCCTAGAGATTCTGCTTGATTGGTTACACTGGGACTGCCCAGACCCTGGAGTTCTTTCGAGAGTCCCAGATAATTGTGATTGCGGCCGAGGCTGAGAATCACCGCTTAGAAGCCTCAGCTGTGATTGGCTACCTTCTCCCATCACCCCAGGTATATTATTAATAAAAATCCAACCGTATTTCAAGTGAAATATCAATGACACGTCAACTATGAGACGCATGAAAAGCACCAAGTTCATCAGTTTCACATTCACAGTATTATTATTATTTTATTTTTAATGGAGTCTTGCTCTGTTCCCCAGGCTGGAGTGCAACGGCACGATCTCGGCTCCCCGCAGCCTCCGCCTGCCGGCTTCAAGTGATTCCCCTGCCTCAGCCTCCCGAGTAGCTGAGATTACAAGCATGCGCCACAACGCCTGGTTAATTTTTGTATTTTTTTCAATAGAGACGGGGTTTTGCCATGCTGGCCAGGCTGGTCTCAAACTCCTGACCTCAGGTGATCTGCCAGCCTCAGCCTCCTAAAGTGCTGGGATTACAGGCGTGAGCCACCGTGCCTGGCTGGCAGTATTAATTTTGTAAACATATAGCCGGGCACAGTGGCTCACGCCTGTAATCCCAGCACTTTGGGAGGCCGAGGCAGGTGGATCACGAGGTCAGGAGATCGAGACCATCCTGGCTAACACGGTGAAACCCCGTCTCTACTAAAAATACAAAAAATTAGCCGGGCGTGGTGGCGGGCACCTGTAGTCCCAGCTACTCGGGAGGCTGAGGCAGGAGAATGGCGTGAACCCGGGAGGCGGAGCTTGCAGTGAGCCGAGATCGCGCCACTGCACTCCAGCCTGGGCGACAGAGCAAGGCTCCATCTCAAAAAAAAAAAAAAAAAAAAAAACACCATATAAATAAGACTAAAAAGTTGGGTTTTGGCCGGGCGCGGTGGCTCACGCCTGTAATTCCAGCACTTTGGGAGGCCAAGGCGGGTGGATCACGAGGTCAGGACTTCAAGACCAGCCTGGCCAAGATGATGAAACCCCGTCTCAACTAAAAATACAAAAAATTAGTCGGGCGTGGTGGCGGGTGCCTGTAATCCCAGCTACTTGGGAGGCTGAAGCAGAGAATTGCTTGAACCCAGGAGGCGGAGGTTGCAGTGAGCCGAGACCGCACCACTGCACTCCACCCTGGGCGACAGAGTGAGACTCCGTCTCAAAAAAAAAAAGAAAAAAGTTGGGTTTTATAGCTTTTTTTCATGTTTCTTTGTTTGTTTTGCTTTTTTTTTTTCTGAGACTGAGTCTGGCACTGTCGCCCGGGCTGGAGTGCAGTGGCGCAATCTTGGCTCACTGCAACCTCCGCCTCCAGAGTTCAAGCGATTCTCCTGCCTCAGCCTCCTGAATAGCTGGGATTACAGGCGCGTGCCACTGTACCCGGCTAATTTTCTTATTTTTAGTAGAGATGGGGTTTCACCATGTTGGACAGGGTGGTCTTGAACTCCCAACCTCAGGTAATCTGCTCACCTCGGCCTCCCAAAGTGCTAGGATTACAGGCATGAGCCACTGCGCCTAGCCTTTTTTTTGTATTTTTAGTAGAGATGGGGTTTCACTATGTTGGCCAGGCTGGTCTCAAACTCTTGACCTCGTGATCCGCCCGCCTCGGCCTCCCAAAGTGCTTGGGTTGCAGGCACGAACCACCGCGCCCAGCCTTTTTCATGTTTTAGAACCAACATATGTATATGTACATCTATATTTCTTTTCGTTTTTTCTTTTTGAGACAGGGTCTCACTCTGTCGCCTAGGCTGGTGTGCAGTGGCACAATCATAGCTTACTGAAGGCTACAGGCATACGCCATCACGCCTGACTAGATTTTTGTATTTTTTATAGAGATGGAGGTCTCACTATGTTGCCCAGGCTGGTCTCAACCCCATGGGCTTAAGCAATCTTCCCACCACGGCCTCCCAAAGTGCTGGGATTTCCGGTGTGAGCCACCATGCTTGACCCTGTGTTTACTTATTAAGTCCTCTAAACATTGCTACACAGTAGTGATTGCCATGATCCTACCCATTTTTCACTTTCCTTGAGAAAATGAAGGCAAGGCATATTTAGAAAACCTGTCTGAGGTCTTGAAGATCACAAACAGCTGTCAGCTTCCGGAAGCCCAGCTCTTCACTGCCGCGCTCAGTTGCCTATCCTAGAAAGAATAAGAAAGTGAGGGGGCCCAGTGTGGTGCCTCACGCCTGTAATCCCAGCACTTTGGGAGGCCGAGGCGGGCGGATCACGAGGTCAGGAGATGGAGACCATCCTGGCTAACACGGTGAAACCCCGTCTCTACTAAAAATACAAAAAATTAGCCGGGCGTGGTGGCGGGCGCCTGTAGTCCCAGCTACTCGGGAGGCTGAGGCAGGAGAATGGCGTGAACCCGGGAGGCGGAGCTTGCAGTGAGCTGAGATCGCGCCACTGCACTCCAGCCTGGGTGACAGAGCAAGACTCTGTCTCAAAAACAAACAAACAAAAAAGAAAGAAAGAAAGAAAAGAAAATGAGGGGCCGGGCGTGGTGATTCATGCCTGTAATCCCAGCACTTTGGGAGGCCGAGGCGGGTGGATCACCTGAGGTCAGGAGTTCGAGATCAGCCTGACCAACATGGTGAAATCCCATCTCTACTAAAAATACACAAAAAATTAGCCAGGCGTAGTGGCAGATGCCTGTAATTCCAGCTATTCTGGAGGCTGAGGCAGGAAAATGGCTGGAACCTGGGAGGCAGAGGTTGCAGTGAGCTGAGATCGTGCCATTGCACTCCAGCCTGGGCAACAAGAGCGAAACTCTGTCTCAAAAAAAAAAAAAAAATTGAGGGATGGAGGGAATAGGAAGGATGAATGAAAATGTGCAGGAGCAGTTTTCAGACTGCACATTTCAATAAATTCTTTTTCATTTTTTCTTTTTTTTTTTTTTGAGATGGAGTTTTGCTCTTGTCGCCCAGGCTGGAGTGCAATGGCGCGATCTCAGCTCACTGCAACCTCTGCCTGCCGGTTTCCTGTGATTCTCCTGCCTCAGACTCCTGTGTAGCTGGGATTACAGGCATGTACCACCACGCCCGGCTAATTTTGTAGTTCTAGTAGAGATGGGGTTTCACCATACCCTTTTGGCCAGGCTGTTCTTGAACTCCTGACCTCAGGTGATCCACCCGCCTCAGCCTCCCAAAGTTCTGGGATTACAGGCATCCACTTCCCCCGACCTTTTTCTACCTTCTTAATATGGACACCCTACCATAATTTGGAGGTACTTTTTTTTTTGTTTCCTTTTTGAGACAGACTCTCGCTCTGTTGCCCAGGCTGGAGTGCAGTGGTGTGGTCTCGGCTCACTGCAACCTCTGCCTCCGGGGCTCAAGCAATTCTCTTGCCTCAGCCTCCTACAGGCACCTGCCACCATGCCAGGCTAATTTTTAGTACAGATAGGTTTTCACCATGCTGGCCAGGCTCTTCTTGAACTCCTGATCTGAGATCCACCTGCCTCGGCTTCCCAAAGTGCTGGGATTACAGGTGTGAACCACCACGCCCAGCCACAGTACCTTTTTTAAAAAATTTGTATTTTCTTTTATTTATTTATTTATTTATTTAGAGATGAAGTCTCTCTGTTGTTGCCCAGGCTGGAGTGCAGTGGCATGATCTTGGCTCACTGCAACCTCTGCCTCCCGGGTTCAAGTGATTCTCCTGCCCTAGCTGGGATTATAGGCTCCCGCCACCATACCAAGCTAATTTTGTATTTTTAGTAGACACGGGGTTTCACCACCTTGGCCGGGCTGGTCTTGGACTCCTGACCTCGGGTGATCCACCTGCTTTGGCCTCCCAAAGTGCTGGAATTACAGGCGTGAGACACTGTGCCTGGCCCACTCCCCCTCTTTTTTAACTAGAGACTGGGTCTCACTTTGTACACCGGGCCGGTCTTGAACTCCTGGGCTCCATGGCCCTCCCGCCTTGGCCTCCCAAAGTACTGAGATTACAGGTGTGAGCCACTATGCCTGGCCCATTATTTTATATTTTAATATAAATATTTACATTTATAAATTTCCATCAGTGCAACAAACACATTTCAACAGCAATTTCACCACCACTCAGTTCTAGCATTTTTAAAAATGCCCTTTGTTATTTCTTCTTTGACCTTGGAATTATATAGAATATTTTTTTAAGACTCAAATGCATGGGATTAAGAAATTATCTTTTGTGCTGGGCATGGTGGCTCACGCCTGTAATCCCAGCACTTTGGGAGGCCGAGGCAAGCGGATCACGAGGTCAGGAGATCGAGACCATCCTGGCTAACACGGTGAAACCCCGTCTCTACTAAAAATTAAAAAAATTAGCTGGGCACGGTGGCGGGTGCCTGTAGTCCCAGCTACTTGGGAGGCTGAGGCAGGAGAATGGCGTGAATCCGGGAGGCGGAGCTTGCAGTGAGCCACCATCACACCACTGCACTCCAGCCTAGGTGACAGAGCAAGACTCCATCTCAAAAAATAAAAATAAAAATAAAAATAAAACTATCTTTTGTTACAATTCTTCTAACTTTTGTTCTATTGAGGAAATTGAGACTGAAATGTTAAGTAGCAACCCCAAGGTCACATAACTCATGGGTGGCTGGGGAGAAGGATGGATTTAAACAGACTTCTGGTTGAGCGCGGTGGCTTAAGGCTGTAATCCCAGCACTTTGGGAGGCTGAGATGGGTGGATCACTTGAGGTCAGGAGCTCGAGACTAGCCTGGCCAACATGGTGAAATCCCGTCTCTACTAAAAATACAAAAGTTAGCTGGGTGTGGCGGCAGGCACCTGTAATCCCAGCTACCCAGGAGGCTGAGGGAGGAGAATTGCTTGAACCCGGGAAGCAGAGGTTGCAGTGAGCTGAGATCTCGCCACTGCACTCCAGCCTGGGTGATAGAGGGAGACAACATCTCAAAAAACAAAACGAAAGAAACAAACAAACAAAAAAAACAAGAAACACCAGACTTCTGTTGGAATAAGTGAGTTTGGTTCGGGTAGATGGAACCTGCAAAGGGGTTTGGAGATCCAAAAGAGGAACTACGTGGTTAGAACAGAGTATCGGATGAACTGATAAGAAACCACAATTCAAAAACAATTCAACAAAATGCCCAGGTCTGTGAAAGCCTGTCTACACCAGGCCTTGGGTCTCTGTGTACATTGCCTGCTTCTGACAAGGCTCTGCAGCCGGGAGTCGGCTCCCAGGGTTGCATGGCTGGGAACAACAGAAGCTCAGGAGCGGACCTAAAACGGAGCAGTTGGGTAAAATGAAGCTGTCTCCATTTACTTTCTACAGACAGACATCCATGAGAGGATGAGGAGGTGTGCTTGCCTCCTGGTCAAGCACTAATTTTTTTTTCCAAGCACTAATTTTAATTTTTTTATTTTTTGTAGAAACAGGGTCTCAGAGTATTTGCTTTGGCAGCACATACACTAAAATTGGAAATGGGGGTCTTGCTATGTTGCCCAGGCTGGACTTGAGCTCCTGGGCTCAAGGGATCCTCCCACCTCAACCTCCTAAAGTGCTATCCACTCTGACCTTGTGATCCACCTGCCTCAGCCTCCCAAAGTGCTGGTGAGGGAAGAGAGAAACCGTCTCATATTGTTTTATATTGTTTTATACTCAGTACTTGTTTTAGAAAAAAAACAAGGAGGCCGGGCACGGTGGCTCACGCCTGTAATCCCAGCACTTTGGGAGGCCAAGGCGGGTGGATCACAAGGTCAGGAGTTTGAGACCAGCCTGGCCAACATGGTGAAACCCCGTCTCTATTAAAAATACAAAAATTAGCCGGGCATGGTGGCGTGCGCCTGTAATCCCAGCTACTCGGAAGGATGAGGCAGCAGAATTGCTTGAATCCAGGAGGCGGAGCTTGCAGTGAGCCGAGATTGTGCCACTGCACTCCAGCCTTAGCGACAGAGCAAGACTCTGTCTCAAAAAAAAAAAAAAAGAAAAAGAAAAAAACAAGGAAGTGAAACCAAAGGCAGGTAGCCCGGCGCCAGGCACCAGACCCAAAACCAGACCCGAAACCAGGCCTGGGCCTGCCTGGCGTAAACCTAGTAGATAAAAATCAACTCATGACTTAGAACCCGATGTTATCCATAGATTCCAGGCATTGTATAGAAGAACACTGTGAAACTCCCTGCCCTATTCTTTCTCTCTGACCAGCAGTGCACGAAACCCCTGTTATGTATCCCCTAGATTGCTCAATCATGACCCTTTCATGCGCAGTCTTTAGTGTTGTGAGCCCTTAAAAGGGACAGAAACTGTGCACTCGAGGAGCTTGGATTTTAAGACAGTAGCTTGCCGATGCTCCCAGCTGAATAAAGCCCTTCCTTCTACAACTCGGTGTCTGAGAGGTTTTTGTCTGTGGCTCGTCCTGCTACACTGGGATTACAGGCGTGAGCCACTGTGCCTGGCCACTAGTTATTATTATTATTATTATTTGAGACAGAGTCTCACTCTGTCCCTTGGGCTGGAGTGCAGTGGCCTGATCTTGACTCACTGCAACCTTTGCCTCCCGGGTTCAAGCGATTCTCCTGCCTCAGCCTCCAGAGTAGCTGGGATTACAGGCATGCACCACTATGCCCAGCTAGCTAACTTTTTGTATTTTTAGTAGAGACAGGGTTTCACCATGTTGGCCAGGCTGGTCTTGAACTCCTGACCTTGTGATTCGCCCACCTCGGCGTCCCAAAGTGCTGGGATTAGAGGCGTGAGCCACTGCACCCGGCAATACTAGTTATTGTTAATGCTATTATTGTTACTGACATGTTCATTTTTACCTAGCCACTTTATTTTCCCACCTCTTTCTCCCTACTTCTCCTAAGTGTCAATGTTAGATAAGTCTGAAATTCTCTTTCCCTGTCCCTCTCTGTCTCTCTCTCCTTCTTTGTCTTTCTTTCACCTGAGACCCATAATCCTGGAGATAGCAAGTGCCTCAGGGAGAAAATCCCAAACCAAGCGATTCTCCTGCCCTAGCCTTCCAAGTAGCTGGGATTACAGGCTCCTGCCACCATACCAAGCTAATTTTGTATTTTTAGTAAAGACACGGTCTCACCACCTTGGCCAGGCTAGTCTCGGACTCCTGACCTCAGGTGATCCACCCACCTGGGCCTCCCAAAGTGCTGGAATTACAGGCGTGAGACACCGTGCCCGGCCCCCTCCCCATCTTTTTTAAATAGAGACTGGGTCTCACTTTGTACACCGGGCCAGTCTTGAACTCTTGGGCTCCATGGCCCTCCAGTGTGGAGGAGAGAAAATGGATTCCCTCCACCCTCCTAGGTTCTTTGGATGGGCTATGAATTACATTGACACAAAACAGTTTGACAGAAGAAAAACCAGATTCAATTATGTATGCACAGGAGTCCCACAAAAATGTGAGACTGGAGGAAGGGCCAGATGATTGAAGCTCATCTAGCTGCCTGAGCTACAGAAAGGAGTATAAGAGTGTAGGGTGCAGTGGCTCACGCCTGTGATCCCAGCAGTTTGGGAGGCCAAGGTGGGTGGATCACCTGAGGTCAGGAGTTTGAGACCAGCCTGGCCAACATGGTGAAACCCCATCTCTGCTAAAAATACAAAAATTAGCTGGTGTGGTGGTGTGTGCCTGTAATCCCAGCTACTCCGGAGGCTGAGGCAGGAGAATCACTTGAACCCGGGAGGAGGAAACTGCAGTGAGCTAAGATCGCACCATTGTACTCCAGCCTGGGCTTCAAAGGGAGACTCCATCTCAAAAAAAAAAAAAAAAAGAAGAAGAAGAAGAAAGGAGTAGGGGTGTCCGTCCCAGTGGCTCACGGTCTGTAATCTCAACACTTTGGGAACCGAAATGGGTGGATCACCTGACGTCGGGAGTTTGAGACTAGCCTGGACAACAGGGTGAAACCCAGTCTCCACTAAAAATACAAAAATTAGCCAGGTGTGGTGGTGTGCCCTGTAATCCCAGCTACTTGGGAGGCTGAGACAGGAGGATTACTTGAACCCGGGAGGTGGAGGTTGCAGTGGGCCAAGATCACGCCACTGCACTGCAGCCTGGGAGATAGAGGGAGACCCTGTCTCAAAATAAAATAAATAAATAAATAAATAAATACATACATACATAAATGAAAAGGCGTAGAGACTTGGAGCTTCTGGGGGTGGTGGAGGCAAATTAAGGTATGATAAAAGGGGGAAAAGTTGCTGGGTTCACGCCTGTAATTCCAGCACTTTGGGAGGCCAAGGCAGGTGGATCACCAGAGGACAGGAGTTCGAGACAAGCCTGGCCAACATGGTGAAACCCCGTTTCTACTAAAAATGCAAAAAATTAGAAGGCGTGGTGTTGGGTGTCAGTGATCCACCTGCCTCGGCCTCCCAAAGTGCTGATATTATAGGCGTGAGCCACTGCGCCCGGCCTTTTTTTTTTTTTGAGGGAGAGTCTTGCTCTGTCTCCCAGGCTGGAGTGCAAAGGCACAATCTCAGCTCACTGCAACCTCCGCCTCCCGGGTTCAAGTGATTCTCCTGCCTCAGCCTCCCGAGTAGCTGGTATTACAGGCACCTGCCACCGCGCCCAGCTAATTTTTGTATTTTTTTTTAGTAGAGATGGGGTTTTGCCATGTTCACCAGGGTGGTCTCAAAGTCCTGACCTCAAGTGATCCGCCTGCCTTGGCCTCCCAAAATCCTGGAATGACAGGCATGAACCACCATACCCAGTCCTGTTTTTCCTACTTTCACACTCAACACAGAATACTTCACCAAAAATGTATGTTTCTCCCCACCAACAACCAGTTCTCCAGCAGAGACCAGCTGGGTGTCCTCTCCTTTGATTTAGTTCTGACACTCCCTACCTGGGGACAGCATCAGATCCCAAAGGTTCAGGGCTGAGTCCCACAAGACTGACTGACTTCCTTCCTTCCTTCCTTGTCCCACAAGACTGACTTCCTTTCCCTCCTTCCCTTCCCTCCTTCCCTCCTTCCCTCCTTCCTTCCTTTCTCTCCCTCTGTTGCCCAGGCTGGAGTGCAGTTGCGAGATCATGGCTCACTGTAGCCATGACCTCCCAGTCTCAAGTGATCCTCCTGCCTTGGCCTCCTGAGTAGCTGGGACTACAGGCATGCACGATCACAGTTGGCTATTTATTTATTTATTTATTTATTTTTGAGACACAGTCTTGCTCTGTCATCCAGGCTGGAGTGCAGTCCTGTCATCTAGGCTGGAGTGCATTTTTGCAATACAAAAATTAGCCAGGCATGGGAGCGAATGTCTATAATCCCAGCTACTTGGGAGGCTGAGGCTCGACAATCCCTTGAACCCAGGAGGTTGAGGATCACAGCTCACTGCAACCTCAGTCTTGCTGTGTCGCCCAGGCTGAAGTGCAGTGGCACGATCTTGGCTCACTGCAACCTACGACTCCGGGATTCACGTCATTCTCCTGCCTCAGCCTCCCGAGTAGCTGGGACCACAGGCGCCCACGACCTCCTGGCTAACTTTTGTATTTTTTGTAGAGATGGGGTTTCGCCATGTTAGTCAGGCTGGTCTGACCTCAAATGATTCACCCACCTCAGCTTCCCAACATGCTGGGCTTACAGCCACTGTGCTCAGTCGAAATTCTGTATATTTGATCAAGAAGAGGTTTCATCATGTTGTCCAGGCTGGTCTGGAACTCTTGAACTCAAGCAATCCACCTACCTGGGCTGCCCAAAGTTCGGGGATTCCAGGCATGTGCCACCATGCCTGGCCCAAGGCTGCTCTTCCTAAAGAAGAAAATTATTCCAATGATTTTATTTATTTATTTTTGAGACGGAGTTTCACTCTTGTTGCCCAGGCTGGAGTGCAATGGCATGATCTTGGCTCACTGCAACCTCTGCCACCCGGGTTCAAGTGATTCTCCTGCCTCAGCCTCCTGAGTAGCTGGGATTACAGGCACGCACCACCACACCCAGCTAATTTTTTTGTATTTTAGTAGAGACGGGGTTTCTCCATGTTGGTCAGGCTGGTCTCAAACTTCGGACCTCAGGTGATCCGCCAGCCTTGGCCTCCCAAAGTGCTGGGATTGCAGGCGTGAGCCACCGCGCCCGGCCACCAATGATATTTTTTAAAAGCAAGTAAGGACGAGCTGGGCATGGTGGGTTCTTGAATCTCATACCAGAAAGAATTCAGGGCGAGACTATGGAGTAAAGTGGAAGCAAGCTTATTAGGAAAGTGAAGGAGTAAAAGAATAGCTACTCCATAGACAGCAGCCCATAGGGCTGCTAGTTGCCCTTATTTTTTTTGAGATGGAGTTTTGCTCTTGTCGCCCAGGCTGGAGTGCAGTGGCGTGATCTTGGCTCACTGAAACCTCTGCCTTGAATCACTTCAGTTCAAGTGATTCTCCTGCCTCAGCCTCCTGAGTAGCTGGGATTACAGGTGCCTGCCATCACGTCTGGCTAATTTTTGTATTTTTAGTAAGAGATGGGGTTTCACCATGTTGGCCAGGCTGATCTTGACCTCCTGAGCTCAGGTGATATGCCCGCCTCGGCCTCCCAAAGTGTTGGGATTACAGGCGTAAGCCACCACGTCCGGCCTCGGTTGCCCTTTTTTTTTTTTTTTTTTTTTTTTGAGACGGAGTCTCGCTCTTTCACCAGGCCAGAGTGCAGTGGCACTATCTCGGCTCACTGCAAGCTCCGCCTCCTGGGTTCAGGCCATTCTCCTGCCTCAGCCTCCCGAGTAGCTGGGACTACAGGCGCCCGCCACCGCACCCAGCTAATTAGTTGTATTTTTTTTTAGTAGAGATGGGATTTCACCGTGTTAGCCAGGATGGTCTCAATCTCCTGACCTCATGATCCACCCGCCTCGGCCTCCCAAAGTGCTGGGATTACAGGCGTGACCACCGCGCCCGGCCGGTTGCCCATTTTTATGGTTATTTCTATGGATATGCTAAACAAGGGGTGGATTATTCATGCCTCCCCTTTTTAGACAGCATAGGGTAACTTCCTGACATTGCCATGGCATTTGTAAACTGTCATGGGGCTGCTGGGAGTGGAGCGGTGAGGACAACCAGAGGTTACTCTCGTCACTATCTTGGTTTTGATGGAGTTTGACTGGATGCTTTATTTATTTTTATTTATTTTTTATTTTTTTGAGACGGAGTCTCGCTCTGTCACCCAGGCTGGAGTGCAGTGGCGCGATCTCCGCTCACTGCAAGCTCCATCACCCGGGTTCACGCCGTTCTCCTGCCTCAGCCTCCCGAGTAGCTGGGACTACAGGCGCCCGCCACCACGCCCAGCTAATTTTTTGTATTTTTTTTTTTTAGTAGAGATGGTTTCACCGTGTTAGCCAGGATGGTCTCAATCTCCTGACCGTGTGATCCACCCGCCTCAGCCCCCGAAAGTGCTGGGATTACAGGTGTGAGCCACCGCGCCCGGCCTGGCTGGATTCTTTATTGCTAAGGGAGGAGACCACCCCTCATATTGTCTTATGCCCAATTTCCACCTCCAAAGAAAGAAAAAGTAAAAACTAAAAGGCAGAAATGAAATCCACAAGCAGACAGCCCCGCGCCCCAGGAATGAAATCCACAAGCAGACAGCCCCGCGGCCCAGGAATGAAATCCACAAGCAGACAGCCCGGCGCCACACCCTGGGCCTGGTAGTTAAAGATTGACCCCTGACCTAATCGGTTATCTATAGATTACAGACATTGTATAGAAAAGCACTGTGAAAATCCCTATCCTGTTTTGTTTGGATCTGATTACCAGTGCATGCAGCCCCCAGTCACGTACCCCCTGCTTGCTCAGTCGATCACGACCCTCTCACGCACACCCCCTTAGAGTTGTGAGCCCTTAAAAGGGACAGGAATTGCTCACTTGGGGATCTCGGCTCTTGAGACGGGAGTCTTGCCGATGCCCCTGGCCGGATAAACCCCTTTCTTCTTTAACTCGGTGTCTGAGGAGTTTTGTCTGTGGCTGGTCCTGCTACATTGCTACCTGTGTTATCAGCAAGGTCCTTATGACCTGTATCTTGTGCTGACTTATCTCATCCTGTGACTTAGAATGCTTTTTTTTTTCTTTTTACTGCAACCTCCGCCTCCCCGGCTCAAGCGATTCTCCTGCCTCAGCCTCGCAAGTAGGTGGGATTACAGGCACGAGCCACCACGCCTGACTAATTTTTGTATTTTCAGTAGAGACGGGGTTTCACCGTGTTGGCCAGGCTGGTCTCAAACTCTACTTCGGGTAATCCACCCGCCTCGGCCTCCCAAAGTGCTGGGCCACCGTGCCTGTCATTTTTGTTTTTTTTGGAGAATGCCTTAACTGTCTGGGAATGCAGCCCGGTAGGTCTCAGCCTTATTTTAGTCAGCTCCTATTCAAGATGGAGTTGCCCTGGTTACACGCCTCTGACAGTAGGTCCGTTGCCCAATGCACGCTGTGAGTCAATTTGCCGGGTCACTGTGTTGCAGAAGAGAAGGAAGTTTAATCACAGGGCTGAGGAATGAGGAGATGGGAGGAAACCTCCAATCCATCTCCCCCAGAAGTTTGGGTCTAGGGTTTTTTTTTTTTTTGAGATGGAGTTTTGCTTTGTCACCCAGGCTGGAGTGCAGTGGCAGGATCTTTGCTCACTGCAACCTCCGCCTCCCAGGTTCAAGTAATTCTCTTGCCTCAGCCTCCTGAGTAGCTGGGGTTACAGGCACCCGCTACCACGCCCGACTAATTTTTTGTGTTTTTAGTAGAAACGGGGTTTCACTATGTTGGCCAGGCTGGTCTTGAACTCTTGACCTCAGGTGATTCACCTGCCTTGGCCTCCCAAAGTGCTGGAGTTACAGGTGTGAGCCTCTGCACCCGGCCGGGGCTAGGGTTTTTAAGTGTTTTGGTGTGGGCCAGAGTGTGGCCATGCTGACTGCTGGCGGAGACAGGGGCATGAAGACGCAGTGTTCTCATGCTGATCCCATTCCTCACTGGGGTCTTCAAACTGGTTAGTGTCAGCTATTTGGCTGGAATTCAAGGTCTGAAAAACATCTGAAACCATCCTTAAACAAAAGCCTTATAATTCTAATGTCCCAGAGTTTATCTGTAGGAACCGTGCAGATACAAATTTGTCTAATGGGGCCGGGCGCGGTGGCTCACGCCTGTAATCCCAGCACTTTGGGAGGCCTAGGCGGGAGGATCACGAGGTCAGGAGATCGAGACCATCCTGGCTAACATGGTGAAACCGCGTCTCTACTAAAAATACAAAAAAAATTAGCCAGGCATGGTTGCAGGCACCTGTAGTCCCAGCTATTCGGGAGGCTGAGGCAGGAGAATTGTGTGAACCCGGGAGGCGGAGCTTGCAGTGAGCAGAGATTGCGCCACTGCCCTCCAGCCTGGGCGACAGAGCGAGACTCCGTCTCAAAAAAAAAAAAAAATTCGTCTAATGACCCTGCTGTCAGAAATCCTATCTACAGCAATGATGAGGAGGCAAAAGTGCAGTGTCTAGAGCCACGTGATACACAGCAGCCAGGATGTGGGCCAGAGTGCAGCCTGATTCACATTTTTTCATTTTTATTTTTTTTACTAAAAGTGGGTTTTCATTTTTTGTTTTGTTTTTGTTTTTGTTTTTTGTTTTTTGAGATGGAGTCTCACTCTGTTGCACCCAGGCTGGAGTGCAGTCGTGCGACCTCGGCTCACTGCAACCTCTGCCTCTGCCTCCCGGGTTCAAACAATTCTGCCTCAGCCTCTCGAGTAGCTGGGATTACAGGCGTTGAACTACCATGCCCCGCTAATTTTTGTATTTTTGTAGAGACGCAGTTTCACCATGCTGGCTGGGCTGGTCTCAAACTCCTGACCTTAAGTGATCCATCTGCCTCAGCCTCCCAAAGTGCTGGGATTACAGGCCTGAGCCACTGTGCCTGGTCTACAAAGGATATTTTTGTGGGGAAAAGAAAGAGAGATCAGATTGTAACTGTGTCTGTGTAGAAAGAAGTAGACACAGGAGACTTCATTTTGTTCTGTACTAAGACAAATTCTTCTGCCTTGAGATGCTGTTAATCTATGACCTTACCCCCAACCCTGTGCTCTCTGAAACATGTGCTGTGTCCACTCAGGGTTAAATGGATTAAGGGCTGTGCAAGATGTGCTTTGTTAAACAAATGCTTGAAGGCAGCATGCTCCTTAAGAGTCATCACCACTCCCTAATCTCAAGTACCCAGGGACACAAACACTGCGGAAGGCCGCAGGGACCTCTGCCTAGGAAAGCCAGGTATTGTCCAGGGTTTCTCCCCATGTGATAGCCTGAAATATGGTCTCATGGGAAGGGAAAGACCTGACCGTCCCTCAGCCCGACACCAGTAAAGGGTCTGTGCTGAGGCGGATTAGTAAAAGAGGAAGGAACACCTCTTTGCAGTTGAGACAAGAGGAAGGCATCTGTCTCCTGCTCGTCCCTGGGCAATGGAATGTATGGGTGTAAACCCCGATTGTATATTCCATATACTGAGATAGGGGAAAACCGCCTTAGGGCTGGAGGTGGGACATGCGGGCAGCAATACTGCTCCGTAAGGCATTGAGATGTTTATGTGTATGCATATCTAAAGCACAGCACTTAGTTCTTTACCTTGTCTATGATGCAGAGACCTTTGTTAACGTGTTTATCTGCTGACCTTCCCTCCACTATTATCCTATGACCCTGCCACATCCCCCTCTCTGAGAAACACCCCAAAATGATCAATAAATACTAAGGGAACTCAGAAGCTGGCGGGATCCTCCATATGCTGAATGCTGGTCCCCTGGGTCCCCTTATTTCTTTCTCTATACTTTGTCTGTGTCTCTTTCTTTTCCAAGTCTCTCCTTCCACCTAACGAGAAATGCCCACAGGTGTGGAGGGGCAACCCGCCCTTTCATATTTTAAAGGATACAAATGAACAGCCAAGGAAGAGATGCGTAGGGGGAGGTTTAGAGGAGTCCGAAGTGCAGGAGCTTCTGTCCCTGTGGACCTGGGGTGCACCACAGTCCTGGCACACGAATGCACCCGGGTTCACCAACCAGGAAGCTCTTCTGAACTCTTTCCTGGTTTTTTTTTTTTTTGAGACAGTCTAACTCCGTCACCCAGGCTGGAGTGCAGTGGCGCTATCTCAGCTCACTGCAGCCTCTGTCTCCTGCGTTCAAGTGATTCTCATGCCTCAGCCTCCTGAGTAGCTGGGTCTACAGGTGCACTCCACCACGCCTGGCTAATTTTTTATTTTTTGTAGAGCCAGGGTCTTGCTATTTTGTCCAGACTGGCCTAGAATTCTTGGGCTCAAGCAATCCTCCCATCTAGGCCTCCCAAAGCGTTGGGATTACGGGCATGAGCCACAGGACACCCGGCCCAAACCCTTTTCTTTTGGGGTTTATGGAGGATTCCTTAGGTGGGCAATGCTGATCACATAGCTGGCAGTTCATAATCAATTCAACCTTCAGCCCCTCTCCCCTCCCTGGAGGCCACTTGGAGCCTGGGGCTGAAAGTTCCCAATGTCTAATCACTGACGGTTTCTTTGGCAGCCAGTCCCTCGCACTTGTGGGGTTATCTAGGGGCTTTCCAAAAGTCACCTCATTTACATAAACTCAGGTGTGGTTGCAGGGCCTGGGTATGTATAACAAGAGATACCTCTTTCATGTTTATCTCTCCATAGCTGCTCTAGGACTAAAGGCCAAATGTTTTAACAAAATATACTCTCTCTCTCTTTTTGTCAGCTAGAATATAATTTATTTTTATTGTTTTTATTTTCTTTTTCTTCAGAGAGGGAGTCTCGCCATATTGCCCAGGCTGGTCTTGAACTCCTGGACTCAGGCAGTCCTCCCGCCTCAGCCTCCCAAAGTGCTGGGATTACATTCATGAACCACTGCGCCTGGCCATCTTTTTTTTTTTTTTTTAAAGATGGAGTCTCTGTCGCCCAGGCTGGAGCGCAGTGGTGCAATCTCGGCTCACGGCAACCTCCAACTCCCAGGTTCAATCAATTCTTACGCCTCAGCCTCCTGAGTAGCTGGGATTACAGGTGCACACCACCATGCCTGGCTAATTCTTTATTTTTAGTAGCCAGGGGTTTTTTGCCATGTTGCCCAGGTTGGTCTCGAACTGCTGACCTCAGATGATCCACCTGCCTCAGCCTTCCAAAGTGCAGGGATTACAGGTGTGAGCCACCATGCCAGGCCTCCATAGTGCCTATTTCTATAGATGGCATGCTGCAACTGATATATACATCTTCATTTGTGGGACCATTTGCTTCCATTAAATTAACAGTTTAAACTACCAAAATTCTGTGCTGAATGCTTTCCACAACATACACTGTTTTATTTAAAAACAATTTTAGGCCAGGTGCGGTGGCTCATGCCTGTAATCACCTGACATCAGGAGTTTGAGACCAGCCTGACCAATATGGTGAAACCCTGTCTCTACTAAAAATACAAAAAATTAGTTGGGCATGGTGGCATGTGCCTGCAGTCCCAGCTACTTGGGAAGCTGAGGCATCAGAATTGCTTGAACCTGGAAGGCAGAGGTTGCAAGAATGGAGATTGCACCACTGCACTCCAGCCTGGGCCACAGAGCAAGACTCCATCCAAAAAAAAAAATTAAATATCAGTTATCTATTTATTTTTTTGAGACTGGGTCTCACTCTGTGGCCTAGGCTGGAGTGAGATGGCCAGTCACAGCTCACTGCAGCCTCAAACTCCTGAGCTCAGGTGATCCTCCCACCTCAGCCTCCTGAATAGCTGGGATTACAGGTGCAGCCCATCATGTATGGCTAATTTTTTTGTTTTTGTTTTTGAGACAGTCTTGCTCTTGTCACCCAGGCTGGAGTGCAATGGCGTGATCGTGCCTCACTCACCCTCCACCTCCCTAGTTCAAGTGATTGTCCTGTCTCAGCCTCCCGAGTAGCTGGGATTACAGGCACCTGCCACCACACCTGGCTAATTTTTTGTATGTTTAGTAGAGACAGAGTTTCACCACGTTGGCCAGTCTGGTCTCCAACTCCTGACCTCAGGTGATCCACCCGCCTCGGCTTCCCAAATTGCTGGGACTACAGGCATGAGCTACCACGCCCAGCCTATGCATGGCTAATTATTAAATATTTTTGAAGAGATGGCATCTTGCTATGTTGCCTAGGCTGGTATCAAACTCCTGGCCCCTAGGGATCCACTGGCCTAGGCCTCTCAGCCTGCTGGGATTTATAGGCAGGAGGCACCACAGTTGGCCACAAAGTAGACTTATTGTATTTGTAACTTAGGAAGTCACGGGAGTTTTTGTCCTCTTTTTTTTTAATTTTTATTTATTTTTGTTTAATTTTTTTTCTCTACAAGAGTTTTTAAAGCTGGGAGCCAGGTACCCTGCAAAACCCAAAATGTGTATTTCCTGTTCTGTCGCCTATCACACCTGGCCCGGGTGGTCTAGGAAGGGAATTGCACATTAATCTCACCTGGGGAGATTCAGCAAGCCGTAATTCTCCAAAGCCCACTGAAGCCCAATTACAGCCAAATCCCTGAGGATGGGGCCCAGGTGATGTCAAGGTGAGCCTGAGGTCAGTGGTTGGGAGCCACCCAATGTTAATCTCAGTGGGGCGGTTCCACCCTGGGCGGGAAAGCTGTCTCTCCACCTAGCGTACCAAGGGCCAGAGACCTCCCCTTTTTATCCGTTTCCTTTGCAGGAAACACAGGCTGGAAGCAAGACCTGACCTGAGGGAGGTGAGTGCTGGTTCTTGCATCGATTTCTTTGTCTTCTCGTTTAAGGGAGAAGAAGCTATTGGTTGAGTTTCCACCATAGCCCTTCCCAAGCCTTAATGGTTGGTGCGAGGATGCTGGAAGGATCTTTGATTTTTTTTTTTTTGAGACGGAGTCTCCCTCTGTCGCCCAGGCTGGAGTGCAGTGGCGTGATCTTGGTTCGCTGCAAACTCCGCCTCCTGGGTTCACCCGCCATTCTCCTGCCTCAGCCTCCTGAGTAGCTGGGACTACAGGCACGTGCCACCATGCCCAGCTAATTTTTGTATTTTTAGTAGAGACGGGGTCTCACCATGTTGGCCAGGCTGGTCTTGAACTCCTGACTTTAGGTAATCTGTCTGCCTCGGCCTCCCAAAGTGCTGGGATTCCAGGTGTGAGCCACCACGCCTGGCCTAATGTCTTAAGGACTTCTATTCAAATATAGTTTAGAGGAGTTCAGGAGATTGAGACTAGCCTGGGCAACATGGTAAAACTCTGTCATTACAAAAAAATATAAGGCCAGGCACAGTGGTTCATGCCTGTTATCCCAACACTTTGGGAGGCCGAGGCGGGTGGATCACTTGAGGCCAGAAGTTTGAGACCAGCCTGCCCAAAATGGTGAAACCCTGTCTCTACTAAAAACACAAAAATTAGCCAGGTGTGGTGGTGCATGCCTGTAATCCCAGTTACTTGGAAGGTTGAGGCAGGAGAATAGCTTAAACCTAGGAGGGGGAGGTTGCAATGAGCTGAGATCGCGCCACTGCACTCCAGCCTGGGAGACAGAGTGCGACTCCGTCTCAAAAAACAAAGAAGGCCAGACCTTGTGCTGTGTCCAAGCTACTTGTGGGGTGAGGTGGGAGGATCACCTGAGCCAGGAGGTGGGGGCTGCAATGAGGTGTGATTGAGCCACTGCACTCCAGCCTGGATGAGATGAAGACCCTGTTTAAAAAAAAAAAAAAGTAGGCTGGGCGCGGTGGCTCACGCCTGTAATCCCAGCACTTTCAGATCACCTGAGGCCGGGAGTTTGAGACCAGCCTGACCAACATGGAGAAACCCCATCTCTACTAAAAATACAAAATTAGCTGGGCGTGGTGGCACATGCCTGTAATCCCAGCTACTCGGGAGGCTGAGGCAGGAGAATCACTTGAACCCGGGAGGCGGAGGTTGCGGTGAGCTGAGATTGCGCCACTGCACTCCAGCCTGGGCAACCAGAGTGAAATGCTGCATCAAAAAAAAAAAAAAATGTAAATGGCCAGATGCGGTGGCTCACGCCTGTGATCCCAGCACTTTGGGAGGCCGAGGCGGGTGGATCAGCTGAGGTCAGGAGTTCGAGGCCAGCCTGGCCAACATAGAGAAACCCTGTCTCGGCCGGGCGCGGTGGCTCACGCCTGTAATCCCAGCACTATGGGAGGCCGAGGCGGGCGGATCACGAGGTCAGAAGATCGAGACCATCCTGGCTAACACGGTGAAACCCCATCTCTACTAAAAATACAAAAAAAATTAGCTGGGCATAGTGGCGGGCGCCTGTAGTCCCAGCTACTTGGGAGGCTGAGGCAGGAGAATGGCGTGAACCTGGGAGGCGGAGCTTGCAGTGAGCCCAGATCGCGCCACTGCACTCCAGCCTGGGTGACAGAGCAAGACTCCATCTCAGAAAAAAACAAGAAACCCTGTCTCTACTAAAAATACAAAAACTAGCCCGGCGTGATGCGGTGCGCCTGTAATCCCAGCTTCTTGAGAGGCTGAGGCACTAGAATCACTTGAACCTGGGAGGTGGAGGTTGCAGTGAGTCGAGATTGTGCCACTGCACTCCAGCCTGGGCAACAGAGGGAGACTCCATCTCAAAAAAAAGAAAAAAAGAAAAAAATGTACTTGGGAAAAAAAATACTTGGCCAGGCCTGGTGGCTCATACCTGTAATCCCAGCACTTTGGGAGGCTGAGGTGGGCAGATCACCTGAGGTCAGGAGTTCAAGACCAGCCTGGCCAACATGGTGAAACCCCGTTTGTACTAAAAATACAAAAAAAATTAGGTGTGGTGGGGCATACCTGTAATCCCAGCTACTTGGGAGGCCGAGGCAGGAGAATCGCTTGAACCCGGGAAGAGGAGGTTGTGGTAAGCCTCGCACCATTGCACTCCAGCCTGGGCGACAGAGCAAGACTTTCTGAAAAAGAAAAAAAAAACCCTGAATTTTTCTTTTCTTTTCTTTTTTTTTTTTTTTTTGAGAGGGAGTCTCACTCGCCCAGGCTGGAGTGCAGTGGCGCGATCTTGGCTCACTGCAAGCTCCGCCTCCCAGGTTCAAGCCATTCTCCTGCCTCAGCCTCCCAAGTAGCTGGGACTACAGGCGCCCGCCACCATGCCCGGCTAATTTTTTTTTTGTATTTTTAGTAGAGACGGGGTTTCACCGTGTTAGCCAGGATGGTCTTGAGCTCCTCACCTTGTGATCTGCCCGCCTCGGCCTCCCATAGTGCTGGGATTACAGGCGTGAGCCACCGTGCCTGGCCAAAAAACCCTGAATTTTTCTAAGTACATCAAGCGTTGTCACTGCAAAAACGAAAGGCAACTATATGAAGCAGTGGATATGTTAATTAGCTGGATTGTGGTAATCATTTCACTGTATATATAACATCGCTCCATGCTGTACACTTTGACAAGTAAACGTTGTATATATTACTTTAAAAATACTTAAAAAATAGAGACAAGGTCTCCTTGTGTCGCCCAGGCTGGTCTGGAACTCCTGGGCTCTCATGCTCTTCCTGCTCCATCCTAAAATAGGATATATGTAATTATACCTCACTGAAGGGGTGGCCTGCCCCTCCACACCTGTGGGTGTTTCTTGTCAGGTGGGACGAGAGACTGAGAAAAGAAAGAGACACAGAGACAAAGTACACAGAAAGAAAAGTGGGCTCAGGAGACCCGCGCCGGCCGGGTCTCTGAGTTCCTTCAGTATTTATTGGTCATTATCTCTACCATCTCGGAGACGGGGATGTGGCAGGACAATAGGGTAACAGTGGGGAGAGGGTCAGCAGGAAAACATGTGAGCAAATGTCTGTGTCATAAACAAGGTTAGGAAATGTGCTGTGCCTTGATGTGCTCATACATAAACATATCTGGTGCATTAAAGAGCAGTATTGCTGCCAGCATGTGTCACCTCCAGCCCTAAGGCGGTTTTCCCCTATCTCGGTGGATGGAACATACCATCGGGTTTTACACCGAGACATTCCATTGCCCAGGGACGAGCAGGAGACAGATACCTTCCTCTTAACTGCAAAAAGGCCTTCCTCTTATACTAATCCTCTTCAGCACAGACCCTTTACGGGTGTCGGGCTGGGGTACGGTCTGGTCTTTCCCTTCCCACGAGGCCTTATCTCAGGCTATCACATGGGGAGAAACTTTGGACAATACCTGGCTTTTCTAGGCAGAGGTCCCTGCAGCCTTCCGCAGTGTATTGTGTCCCTGGGTGCTTGAGATTAGAGAGTGGTGATGACTTTTAACAAGCATGCTGCCTTCAAGCATCTGTTTAACAAAGCACATCCTGCATAGCCCTAAACCCACGTGTGACACAGCACATGTTTCTGGGAGCACAGGGTTGGGGCTAGGGTTACAGGTTAACAGCATCTCAAGGCAGAAGAATTTTTCTTAGTACAGAACAAAATGGAGTCTCTTATGTCTATTTCTTTCTACATAGACACAGTAACAGTCTGATCTGTCCTCCTTTTCCCCACACGTCACAGCTGGGGAAAAAGATTTGCTGTTCCCTCCAAGGGTAAAGCTGTCCACCTCTATCAGCACCCGGGCTTGGCAAGTCACTTTTTCTGTTATTTATTTTCCAGGCTGCCTCTTCCCCCCGCCCCCCCAACCCAGACGGAGTCTCGCTCTGTCGCCCAGGCTGGAGTGCGGTGGCGCGATCTCCGCTCACTGCAAGCTCCGCCTCCCGGGTTCCCGCCATTCTCCTGCCTCAGCCTCCCGAGTAGCTGGGACTACAGGCGCCCGCCACCACGCCCGGCTAATTGTTTGTATTTTTAGTAGAGACGGGGTTTCACCGTGTTAGCCAGGATGGTCTCGATCTCCTGACCTCGTGATCCGCCTGCCTCGGCCTCCCAAAGTGCTGGGATTACAGGCGTGAGCCACCGCACCCGGCCATTAGTTACTTACTTTTGAGACAGGGCCTCACTCTGTCACCCAGGCTGGCGTGCAGTGGCTGGCTCACTGCAACCTCCAAATCGTAGGCTCAAACAATCCTCCTGTGTCAGCCTCCCAAGTATCTGGGACTACGGGTATGTTCCACCAGGCCTGGCTAAGTTTTTTTTTTTTGAGATAGAGTTTCGCTCTTGTTGCCCAGGCTGGAGTACAATGGCGCTATCTCAGCTCACTGCAACCTCCGCCTCCTGGGTTCAAGCGATTCTCCTGCCTCAGCCTCCCACGTACCTGGGATTACAGGTTCCTACCACTACACTTGGCTAGCTTTTGTATTTTTAGTAGAGATGGGGTTTCACCATGTGGGCCAGGCGGGTCTCAAACTCCTGACATCAGGCGATCCACCTGCCTCAGCCTCCCAAAGTGCTGGGATTCCAGGCCTGAGCCACCATACCCGGCCAGTACAGTTATATTTATATCTGTCCTCTTGCTATTTGTTTTCAATGTGTCATTCAGTGGTGGGCTGAAATGTTAAACAAGTGGCTCTGAGGGTTGGTGGCGAGGAAGTCTTGGTTTGTAGTGTTTGCTGATTTGTTTTTTTGTTTGTTTGAGACAGAGTCTTGTTCTTGTTGCCGAGGCTCGAGTGCAATGGCGTGATCTCAGATCATGCAACCTCCACCTCCCAGGTTCAAGTGTGATTCTCCTGTCTCGGCCTCCTGAGTAGCTGGGATTACAGGCACCCGCCTGTAATTTCTGTATTTTTAGTAGAGATGGGGTTTCGCCGTGTTGGTCAGGCTGGTCTTGAGCTCCCGACCTCAGGTTATCCACCCGCCTTGGCCTCCCAAAGTGCTGGGATTACAGGCGTGAGCCACCGCGCCCTGCCGTGTTTGCTGATTTCTGTGGCATAAACACTCCCCTTGTGATTTTGTACTATCAGTGTGAAATCACAGCCCATGGACGTTGGTATAGGTACATATAGGAAGCCCCCATTAGGCAGCACGGGCTGGCCCTAGCATACCACTGACCCTTCATTCTTTGTATTCTTTTTTTTTTTTTTTTTTTTTTTTTTGAGACGGAGTCTCGCTCTGTCGCCCAGGCTGGAGTGCAATGGTGAGATCTCTGCTCACTGCAAGCTCCACTTCCCGGGTTCACACCATTCTCCTGCCTCAGCCTCCCGAGTAGCTGGGACTACAGGTGCCCGCCACCACGCCCTGCTAATTTTTTGTATTTTTTTAGTAGAGGCAGGGGTTTCACTGTGTTAGCCAGGATGGTCTCGATCTCCTGATATCGTGATCCATCCGCCTCGGCCTCCCAAAGTGCTGGGATTACAGGCGTGAGCCACCGTGCCCAGCCTTTTGTTCGTTCTTTTTACCAAGTTAGCCAGGCTGGTCTCGAACTCCTGGCCGCAGGCGTGAGCCACCGTGCTGGGCCAGATTTTCAGTCTCTTAATTCAGTCTTTGGAATATTTTACCACTCACTGTACAGCAGGAACAGTCTTGTTCTTGGCACACAGGAAACTGTGGTTTCATTTAATGATGGTAACTCGTGAACTGTTTTTCCTTTTTTCCCCCCAGTTCTTCAGCCTTAACCTAAGGTCTCATACTCGGAGCACTATGACATCGCCCCAGCTAGAGTGGACTCTGCAGACCCTTCTGGAGCAGCTGAACGAGGATGAATTAAAGAGTTTCAAATCCCTTTTATGGGCTTTTCCCCTCGAAGACGTGCTACAGAAGACCCCATGGTCTGAGGTGGAAGAGGCTGATGGCAAGAAACTGGCAGAAATTCTGGTCAACACCTCCTCAGAAAATTGGATAAGGAATGCGACTGTGAACATCTTGGAAGAGATGAATCTCACGGAATTGTGTAAGATGGCAAAGGCTGAGATGATGGGTAAGTAGAACCTGGGGTGTCCTGGTCATTTTTTTTTTTTTTTTTTTTTTTTTGAGATGGAGTCTCGTTCTGTCGCCCAGGCTGGAGTGTAAGGCTGGAGTGCAGTGGCGAGATCTGGGCTCACTGCAACCTCCGCCTCTGGGTTCAAGTGATTCTCCTATCTCAGCCTCCGGAGTAGCTGGGATTACAGGCGTGTTTCACCACACCTGGCTAATTTTTTTTTTTTTGTATTTTTAGTAGAGATGGGGTTTTGCCATGTTGGCCAGGCTGGTCTTGATCTCCTGACCTTGTGATCCGCCCACCTCAGCCTTCCAAAGTGCTGTGATTACAGGCATGAGCCACCATGCCTGGCTGACACTTTATGTACAATAATGTCTGATTTACGAAGTGTAAATTACTGTGTCAGGCTTACATCTAAGTATTTTACAGAGGACGGACAGGTGCAAGAAATAGATAATCCTGAGCTGGGAGATGCAGAAGAAGACTCGGAGTTAGCAAAGCCAGGTGGGTAAATACGGTCCTATGGTCATGAGTTTGGTGTTTGAGAGCATGCAAGGTGCATCACTTCTTCCTGGTTTTATTCATTTCTGGTAGTTTTTTTTTTTTTTGAGACGGAATCTTGCTCTGTAGCCCAGGCTGGAGTGTAGTGGCTCCGTCTCTGCTCATTGCAACCTCTGCCTCCCGGGTTCAAGCAATTCTCTGCCTCAGCCTCCTGAGTAGCCGGGATTACAGGCGGCCGCCACTACCCCCAGCTAATGTTTTGTATTTTTAGTAGAGATGGGGTTTCACTATCTTGGCCAGGCTGGTCTTGAACTCCTGACCTCAAGTGATCCACCCACCTTGGCCTCCCAAAGTGCCGGGATTACAAGCATGAGACACCGTGCCTGGCCCTCATTTCTGGTACTTGACAAAATAATTCAGAAAATCATCATCATCAACCTCAACTGTCCTATGGGCTGTCACTGCAGGTGAAAAGGAAGGATGGAGAAATTCAATGGAGAAACAGTCTTTGGTCTGGAAGAACACCTTTTGGCAAGGAGACATTGACAATTTCCATGACGACGTCACTCTGAGAAACCAACGGTTCATTCCATTCTTGAATCCCAGAACACCCAGGAAGCTAACACCTTACACGGTGGTGCTGCACGGCCCCGCAGGCGTGGGGAAAACCACGCTGGCCAAAAAGTGTATGCTGGACTGGACAGACTGCAACCTCAGCCCGACGCTCAGATACGCGTTCTACCTCAGCTGCAAGGAGCTCAGCCGCATGGGCCCCTGCAGTTTTGCAGAGCTGATCTCCAAAGACTGGCCTGAATTGCAGGATGACATTCCAAGCATCCTAGCCCAAGCACAGAGAATCCTGTTCGTGGTCGATGGCCTTGATGAGCTGAAAGTCCCACCTGGGGCGCTGATCCAGGACATCTGCGGGGACTGGGAGAAGAAGAAGCCGGTGCCCGTCCTCCTGGGGAGTTTGCTGAAGAGGAAGATGTTACCCAGGGCAGCCTTGCTGGTCACCACGCGGCCCAGGGCACTGAGGGACCTCCAGCTCCTGGCGCAGCAGCCGATCTACGTAAGGGTGGAGGGCTTCCTGGAGGAGGACAGGAGGGCCTATTTCCTGAGACACTTTGGAGACGAGGACCAAGCCATGCGTGCCTTTGAGCTAATGAGGAGCAACGCGGCCCTGTTCCAGCTGGGCTCGGCCCCCGCGGTGTGCTGGATTGTGTGCACGACTCTGAAGCTGCAGATGGAGAAGGGGGAGGACCCGGTCCCCACCTGCCTCACCCGCACGGGGCTGTTCCTGCGTTTCCTCTGCAGCCGGTTCCCGCAGGGCGCACAGCTGCGGGGCGCGCTGCGGACGCTGAGCCTCCTGGCCGCGCAGGGCCTGTGGGCGCAGATGTCCGTGTTCCACCGAGAGGACCTGGAAAGGCTCGGGGTGCAGGAGTCCGACCTCCGTCTGTTCCTGGACGGAGACATCCTCCGCCAGGACAGAGTCTCCAAAGGCTGCTACTCCTTCATCCACCTCAGCTTCCAGCAGTTTCTCACTGCCCTGTTCTACGCCCTGGAGAAGGAGGAGGGGGAGGACAGGGACGGCCACGCCTGGGACATCGGGGACGTACAGAAGCTGCTTTCCGGAGAAGAAAGACTCAAGAACCCCGACCTGATTCAAGTAGGACACTTCTTATTCGGCCTCGCTAACGAGAAGAGAGCCAAGGAGTTGGAGGCCACTTTTGGCTGCCGGATGTCACCGGACATCAAACAGGAATTGCTGCAATGCAAAGCACATCTTCATGCAAATAAGCCCTTATCCGTGACCGACCTGAAGGAGGTCTTGGGCTGCCTGTATGAGTCTCAGGAGGAGGAGCTGGCGAAGGTGGTGGTGGCCCCGTTCAAGGAAATTTCTATTCACCTGACAAATACTTCTGAAGTGATGCATTGTTCCTTCAGCCTGAAGCATTGTCAAGACTTGCAGAAACTCTCACTGCAGGTAGCAAAGGGGGTGTTCCTGGAGAATTACATGGATTTTGAACTGGACATTGAATTTGAAAGGTAAGAACTGTTTTCCCATCCCACGCTCCACTAGGAAGAGGCCAGCGTCTCCTTTGCCCTGTCGCTTACTGTCAGAATTTCCCTCTGGCTGGACTTCTTTCCAGCTTCATGTTCAACGTGGAGACACGACTTGGCAATTAGGAATTGGGGCTTTTTATTTTTGAGACGGAGTCTCGCTCTGTCCCCCAGGCTGGAGTGCAGTGGCGCGATCTTGGCTCACTGCAACCTCCGCCTCCCGGGTTCAAGTGATTCTCCTGCCTCAGCCTCCCGAGTAGCTGGGACTATGGGCGTGCACCACCTTGCCCGGTTAATTATTTTATTTTTTTGTAGAGATGGGGGTCTCAGTTTCTAGCCCAAGTTGGTCTTAAACTCCTGGGCTCAAGTGATCTTCCCACTTTGGCCTAGCAAAGTGTTGGGATTACAGGCATGAGCCACCTCACTCAGCCTTATCTATTATTTTATTTTTTTTGTAAAACTTAAGATCTATACTGGTAGCAAAGCATGTGATGCAATATTGTTTACTATAGACACTGTTTTAGGTTGGTGCAAAAGTAATTGTGGTTTTTGCCATTGAAATGTGGTTTGCAGATGCCCATCTCACCATGCAGGTACTAGTCCTAAGAGATGAACGTGTGTTCTCCTGCAGGTGCACTTACCTAACCATTCCGAACTGGGCTCGGCAGGATCTTCGCTCTCTTCGCCTCTGGACAGATTTCTGCTCTCTCTTCAGCTCAAACAGCAACCTCAAGTTTCTGGAAGTGAAACAAAGCTTCCTGAGTGACTCTTCTGTGCGGATTCTTTGTGACCACGTAACCCGTAGCACCTGTCATCTGCAGAAAGTGGAGTAAGTAGAAGCTCATCTTGCAAGGAAGACCCTGAACGATGACTAAGCTTCTTGTACTTTTGTTTTTTAAATTTGGAAATGTGCTGTTTCATCTCCATGTATTTGGGGATTTTCCAGCTGTCTTTTTTTTTTTTTTTTTTTTTGGTGAGACGGAGATTTACTCTTGTTGCCCAGGCTGGAGTGCAATGGCGCGATCTCAGCTCACTGCATCCTCCACCTCCCAGGTTCAAGCAATTCTCCTGCCTCAGCCTCCCGAGTAGCTGGGATTACAGGCATGTGCCACCTTGCCCGGCTAATTTTGTACTTTTAGCACAGACAGGTTTTCACCGTGTTGCCCAGGCTGATCTCGAGCTCCTGACCTCAGGTGATTTGCCTGCCTCGGCCTTCCAAAGTGCTGGGATTATAGGCATGAGCCGCTGCACCTGGCCCCTTTTTTATTTTTTATTTTTTCTGAGACAGAGTTTCACTCTGTCACCTAGGCGCTGGAGTGCAATGACTTAATCTTGTGTTTTTAGTAGAGGTGGAATTTTCTCCATCTTGGCCAGGCTTGTCTCGAACTCCTGACCTAAGGTGATGCGCCTGCCTCGGTCTTCGAAAGTGCTGGGATTACAGGCATGAGCCACCATGCCTGGCCCCAGCTATCTTTTTTTTGGTTTGTTTTGTTACCAAAACAAACCAAAAAGTAGGTACAAGTACAGGTTAGTTACACAGGTAACCGTGTGTCATAGGAGTTTGTTGTACAGATTATTTTGTCACCCAAGTATTAAGCCTAGTACCCCTTAGTTGTTTTTCCTGATCCTCTGCTTCTTGACTTTTTTTTTTTTTTTTGAGACAGTCTCGCTATGTTCCCCAGGCTGGAGTGCAGTGCAGCAATCTCGGCTCACTGCAAGCCCTGCCTCCCGGGTTCATGCCATTCTCCTGCCTCAGCCTCCCGAGTAGCTGGGACTACAGGCGCCCGCCACCACGCCCGGCTAGTTTTTTGTAATTTTAGTAAAGACGGGGTTTCACCGTGTTAGCCAGGATGGTCTTGATCTCCTGACCTCGTGATCCACCCGCCTCGGCCTCGGCCTCCCAAAGTGCTGGGATTACAGGCGTGAGCCACCACACCCGGCGAATTTTTTTTTCTTTTGAGATGGAGTCTTGCTCTGTTGCCCAGGCTGGAGTGCAGTGGTGCGGTCTCGGCTCACTGCAACCTCTGCCTCCTGGATTCAAGTGATTCTCCTACCTCAGCCTCCCGAATACCTGGGACTACAAGCATGCCCCTCCATGTGCAGCTAATTTTTGTATTTTTAGTAGAGACGGGGCTTCCCCATGTTGGCCAGGCTGGTCTCGAACTCCTGACCTCAGGCGATCTGCCTGCCTCGGCCCCAGCTAATTTATTTTTTGTAGAGATGGAGTTTCACCATGTTGCCCAGGTTGGTCTCAGACTCCTGACCTCAGGTTATCCTCCTGCCTCAGCCTCCCAAAGTGCTGGGGTTACAGACACGAGCCACTGCACCCGGCCAAGAACTTCTAATAATTTCTAAATGTGAAACAGCTTTTTGTTTATACATGCCTCCACACAATGTGAGTATTAATCACTCCAAGTGGAATCTCTTCTGCTTTTCCCTAGGATTAAAAACGTCACCCCTGACACCGCGTACCGGGACTTCTGTCTTGCTTTCATTGGGAAGAAGACCCTCACGCACCTGACCCTGGCAGGGCACATCGAGTGGGAACGCACGATGATGCTGATGCTGTGTGACCTGCTCAGAAATCATAAATGCAACCTGCAGTACCTGAGGTGGGTCTCACGGTCACGGCTCTCCCCAGCACCTGGAGTCCACTGCACCGTGTTGCTGGGGGATCTAGGAAAAAGGGTAACCACTCCAGATGCCGTCCCAGACAGGGAATGTATTCCTCAAACAGGCCTGTGTGGGGGAGTCGGCCTCTCCTCTTTCCCCCACCAGCTTGTCTTCTGTGTTGCATAACCAGCTATCCATGCAAAGAAACACCCCGAATTCTGTGCTGGGTTCCAGCTTTAGGGACATGCTATTCCTGACTGCACCTTGCCTAATTGTTGGGATTGAGAGCAGTGGCCCCCAGCCTTTTCTGCACCGCGGGCCGGTTTTGCACAAGACAGTTTTTTCCACAGACGGGTTTGGGGGTAGTTTTGGGATGAAACTGTTCGATCTCAGATCAGGCACAGGAGCTAATCGTTGGTGCCTGATCCTATGGAGTGCATGATCCTCGCACTTTGGGAGCCTGAGGAGAATGGATCATCAATCTCAGATCATCAGGAGTTAGGTATTCATAAGGAGCATGCAACCTTCTCTGCACTCAATGAGAATCTTTTTTTTTTTTTTTTTTCTTTGAGACAGTTTTATTCTTGTCACCCAGGCTGGAGCGCAGTGGCGCGATCTCGTTCACTGCAACCTCCGCCTCCTGGGTTCAAGCAGTTCTGCCTCAGCTTCCCGAGTAGCTGGGGTTACAGGCGTGCACCACCACGCCTGGCAAATGTTTGTATTTTTAATAGAGACAGGGTTTCACCATGTTGGCCAGGCTGGTCTCGAACTCCTGACCTCAAGTGATCCGCCTGTCTCGGCCTCCCAAAGTGCTAGGATTACAGGCATGAACCACTGCGCCTGGCCAGGATAAAATTTTTATTTTGAGTATTAAGCATCAATTTGCCCCTTCTAGTCCCAGCTACAGTGGATGCTGAGGTGGGAGGATCATTTGAGCCCAGGAGACAGGTTGTGGTGACCTGTGATCATGCCACTGCACTCCAGCCTGGGCAACAGAGCGAGATCCTGTCTCAAAAAAAAAATTTTTTTTTCCCCCCTGCAAAATCATCCACACAGGCCGTTTTGGTGAAACATTGCACAGAATTGTATTACAATCTCTTGGAGAAGTGGCTGGATGTTACCCTAATGGCCATGGGGATACTTGAAGAAGCAGAGGCAACATTAGATCTCTCCAGTAATTCAGGCCAGGGTTGGAGGCATGAGTAGAATGAGATAAACCAAAGACATAATGTCTTGGGAAGTGAAGCAGAAGAAGCTGATCTGGGCCAGGCGCGGTGGCTCACACCTGTAATCCCAGTACTTCGGTAGGCCAAGGTGGGTGGATCACCTGAGGTCAGGAGTTCAAGACCAGTGTGGCCAACATGGTGAAATCCCGTCTCTACTAAAAATACAAAAATTGGCGAATGCCTGTAATCCCAGCTACTTCGGAGGCTGAGGCAGGAGAATAGCTTGAACCCGGGAGGCGGAGGCTGCAGTGAGGTGAGATCACGCCTTTGCATTCCAGACTGGGCAACAGAGTGAAACTCTGTCTCAAAAAAAAAAAGCTGATAGGGTATACTCTGTCCTCCCAGAAGAATGACTTTTCCCACTCTTTTCACAGGTTGGGAGGTCACTGTGCCACCCCGGAGCAGTGGGCTGAATTCTTCTATGTCCTCAAAGCCAACCAGTCCCTGAAGCACCTGCGTCTCTCAGCCAATGTGCTCCTGGATGAGGGTGCCATGTTGCTGTACAAGACCATGACACGCCCAAAACACTTCCTGCAGATGTTGTCGTAAGTCTCCTCTTCCCATGGGCAGCTCTGGTTTAGTTCTGGGGCTATAGAAGAGAAAGGGTAACACCTGACTTACTGCGCCACCCACGTGGCGCCTCTTGCTGAAATAAACACCTGCTTCAGGCCCGGCACGGTGGCTCCTGCCTGTAATCTCAGCAGAGAGGTGGGCGGATCATCTGAGTTCAGGAGTTCGAGACCAACCTGGCCAACATGGTGAAACCCTGTTTCTATTAAAAATACCAAAAACAGGCCGGGTGCGGTGGCTCATGCCTGTAATCCCAGCACGTTGGGAGGCCAAGGCGGGGAGATCACGAGGTCAAGAGATCGAGACCATCCTGGCTAACATGGTGAAACCCCGTCTCTACTAAAAAATACAAAAAATTATCCAGGTGTGGTGGGCGCCTGTAGTCCCAGCTACTCAGGAGGCTGAGTCAGCAGAATGGTGTAAACCTGGGAGGCGGCGATTGGCAGTGAACCGAGATCGCGCCACTGCACTCCAGCCTGGGCGACAGAGCGAGACTCCGTCTCAAAAACAACACCTGTGTCCTGTGATGGCTCCAGGTGGACCGCTGCATCTTGGCCTTCTCGCCTTCCTGCTCTTTTGTGGCCATGATGACTCCCACAGGACAGAGGGCAGGGGATGAACAGGAAGGGCTGAAGCTGAGTACCCTAGCATGTGGACATCACTGAGCAGGTTGGAGTTGTGGAAATGTTCTCATCCTTCTACCATTTGTTTCATATTTTTGCAGGTTGGAAAACTGTCGTCTTACAGAAGCCAGTTGCAAGGACCTTGCTGCTGTCTTGGTTGTCAGCAAGAAGCTGACACACCTGTGCTTGGCCAAGAACCCCATTGGGGATACAGGGGTGAAGTTTCTGTGTGAGGGCTTGAGTTACCCTGATTGTAAACTGCAGACCTTGGTGTAAGTCCCTGCTGGGTGTGTGTGTGTGTGCACATGAATTCAAGCAGGAGAGACATGAAAGTACTTGTTAATTCATTTCAAATGTAACTTTTAAAAACCTGGTAAGAATTAAAGAACAGGCAGAGGCCAGGCGTGGTGGCTCATGCCTGTAATCCCAGCACTTTGGGAGGCCGAGGCGGGTGGATCATGAGGTCAGGAGATGGAGACCATCCTGGTTAACATGGTGAAACCCTGTCTGTACTAAAAATACCAAAAATTAGCCAGGTGTGGTGGCGGATGCCTGTAGTCCCAGCTACTTGGGAGGATGAGACAGGAGAATGGCGTGAACCTGGAAGGCGGAGGTTGCAGTGAGCCGAGATCGCACCACTGCACTCCAGCCTGGGCGACAGAACAAGACTCCTTCTCAAAAAAACAAAGAAACAAAAAAAACCAGGCAGATACAGGTAGAAACATGTTAATATTTGCATGTCAGCAGAGCCTCTTCCTGCTATGAAGGAAGATTTGAGATGAGTAGTTGGTTCTCGGATCTGATGCTTTGTGTGTGTTCTTTCAAATTCCTATGACATAGTACTGCCTGCTATTGGAGGTAGATTGAGTTATGTGGTAGGGCCAGTGGCACCTTTTTTTAAACTTTTATTTCCATAGGTTATTGGGGAACAGGTGGTGAATGGTGGGCAGATCACCTAAGGTTCGAGACCAGCCTGGCCAACATGGTGAAAACCCATCGCTACTAAAAAATACAAAAATTAACCAGGCTTGGTGGTGCGTGCCTATAGTACCAGCTACTCAGAAGGCTGAGGTAGGAGAATCGCTTGAATCTGGGAGGCAGAGGCTGCAGTGAGCTGAGATGGCGCCACTGCACTCCAGCCCGGGCGACAGAGTGAGACTCCGTCTCAAGAAAAAAACAAAAAAAAACTCAACAAAAATCCTTATTTGTAAAAGACATAGGTGGCAGGTTGGAATTGACCCACGAACTATAGTTGGCTGAATCTTGTTATATGGAAAGAAGCCCAGCGTGAGCTACCTGTTCACATTAAAATTATGGTTAGAAAAATATTCAAGAGATTGCATAGGGTTGAAGACCTGTTCCTGTTCAGAAATTCTAGCTAGTGGTCATTTCTGAGATTCATTTTTTTTTTTTTGGATGAAGTCTCACTCTGTCGCCCAGACTGGAATGCAGTGGTGTAATCTTGGCTGACTGCAACTTCTGCCTCCCAGGTTCAAGCGATTCTCCTGCCTCAGCCTCCCAAGTAGCTGGGATTACAGGTGCCCTCCACCATGCCTGGCTAATTTTTGCACTTTTAGTGGAGATGAGGTTTCACCATGTTGGCCAGGCTGGTCTTGAACTCCTGGCCTTAAGTGATCTGCCTGCCTCGGCCTCCCAAAGTGCTGGCGTTCCAGGCATGAGCCACTGTGCCTGGCTTAGAATAACTATTGTTAAACAAACAGTCACCTACCTGATCGTTATACGAAGTGTACCTGCACCAAAACATCACACTATACCCCTATATATGTAGAATGTGTCAGTTAAAGACAAAACTTAAACATGAAATAAAATGACAGGGAAAGTGAAATTTCCATAATCTAACCACGCAGAAAATAAGTGACCCAGGGCTCAGATCCTGTCCTGGGTCGGTCTGAACCCAGAGCCTAAGCTGTTGTCCCAGGCAGAGCTGGAAATGGATGGAATCAGAAGGCCATTTGGATGTTTTTTTTTTTTTTTTAACAGTCTCTCTCTGTCACCAGGCTGGAGTGCAGTGGTGCGATCTTGGCTCACTGCAACCTCCGCTTCCTGGGTTCAAGTAATTCTCCTACCTCAGCCTCCTGAGTAGCTAGGATTACAGGCATGGGCCGCCACACCTGGCTAATTTTTTTTTTTTTTTGAGATGGAGTTTCGCTCTTGCCCAGGCTGGAGTGCAATGGTGCAATCTCTGCTCACCACAACCTCCGTCTCCCCAGTTCAAGAGATTCTCCTGCCTCAGCCTCCTGAGTAGCTGGGATTACAGGCATGTGCCACCACACCTGGCTAATTTTGTATTTTTAGTAGAGACGGGTTTCTCCATATTGCTTAGGCTGGTCTTGAACTCCCGACCTCAGGTGATCTGTCTGCCTCAGCCTCCCAAAGTGCTGAGATTACAGGTGTGAGCCATCGTGCCCAGCTAATTTTTGTATTTAGTAAAGATGGGGTTTCACCACTTTGGCCAGGCTGGTCTTGAACTCCTGATCTTGTGATTCACCCACCTTGGTCTCCCAAAGTGCTGAGATTACAGGTTTGAGCCACCGCGCCCGGCCCGATTTTTGTATTTTTTAGTAGAGATGGGGTTTCACCATGTTGGCCAGGCTGGTCTTGAACTCCTGACCTCAAATGATCTGCCCGTCTTGGCCTCCCACTGCTGTGATTATAGGCGTGAGCCACTGTGCCCGGCCCATTTGCATGCTTTTATGTGCAAGCCCACCTGGAAGTATATAGCTCCAGTTCATGGGTCAATTCCTACCTGCCACCTATGTTTTATATAAATACTTTTTGTTGTTGTTGTTGTTTTCTTGAGACGGAGTCTCGCTCTGTCGCCCGGGCTGGAGTGCAGTGGCGCGATCTCAGCTCACTGCAGCCTCTGCCTCCCGGATTCAAGCGATTCTCCTGCCTCAGTCTTCTGAGTAGCTGGCACTACAGGCGTGCACCACCAAGTCTGGTTATATAGGTGGCGGGCACCTATAATCCCAGCTACTTGGGAGGCTGAGGCAGAAGAATCGCTTGAACCTGGGAGGCAGAGGTTGCAGTGAGCCAAGAGTGCAGCACTGCATTCCAGTATATAAGTGGAAGGTATATAGTGTTGGAAATAACTGCTTCACAGGGCGTTAGCCAGAGGGATAACAGGCTTCTCTTCCTTTGATTATCCTGTAGGTTACAGCAATGCAGCATAACCAAGCTTGGCTGTAGATATCTCTCAGAGGCGCTCCAAGAAGCCTGCAGCCTCACAAACCTGGACTTGAGTATCAACCAGATAGCTCGTGGATTGTGGATTCTCTGTCAGGCATTAGAGAATCCAAACTGTAACCTAAAACACCTACGGTAGGCGATTTTCTTTTTCTTCTTTCTTTCTTTTTTTGAGACAGGGTCTTGCTCTGTCCCCCAGCCTGGAGTGCAGTGGGGTGATTACGGCTCACTGCGGCTTCGGTCTTCCAGGCTTGATCGGTTCTCCCACCTCAGCCTCCTGAGTAGCTGGCTCTACAGGCATGTATTACCATGGCCAGGTAACTGTTTTCTGTAGAGATGAGGTCTTGTCATCTTTCCCGGGCTGGTTTTGAATTCTGGTGCTCAAGGAATCCTCCCACCTCGGCCTCCCAATGTGCTAGGATTACAGGCATGAGCCATCATGCCTGGCCTCATTTTTAAAGTGTTTGGAAATCTGGAAATCCTTAATTTCTATGTTTTCTTTTTTTTTTTTTTTTTTTGAGACGGAGCCTCGTTCTAGTTGCCCAGGCTGGAGTGCAGTGGCGCGATCTCGGCTTACTGCAACCTCTTCCTCCCGGGTTCTCGCTATTCTCCTGCCTCAGCCTCCTGAGTAGCTGGGACTACAGATGCCCGCCACCGTGCCTGGCTAATTTTTTTTGTATTTTTAGTAGAGATGGGTTTCACAGTGTTAGCCAGGATGGTCTCGATCTCCTGACCTCATGATCTGCCCGCCTTGGCCTTCCAAAGTGCTGGGATTACAGGCGTGAGCCACCACGCCCGGCCAATTTCTATGTTTTCAATATCTCAGACTGTATCACTTCGGATCCAGTTTTAAGATCAAACCCCTCCAGAAACTGAATATATGTGGGTGGGCACTTCTAAAGTCAGGTAGAGGGCCTGGAGAAGTGAAATATATATAACAATGGCCCCCAGTGACCTGGACTTCAGCAGCATGCTGCTTCTGCTGGGATCCAGTAATCAGGAAGCAGTGAGCCTGCCCCACCTCATAAACCCAGGGAACCATAGGTGGGATACCACCCCCAGAAAATGCAAAGTCTCCACAAATGGAATGGCGAGCTCTTCATCACTTCTCTCCCCAAAGTTTGTCAGTTGCATCTCTTGGATGCAACCTATTTTCCAACTAGAATCTGCAATCCTAATGCAAAGAGAATCTGCACGTCATTACTACTTAGCTTTGCTGTAGAGTAAAGAAAAAAAACACTAGAACACAGGGTACTTTTTTTCTTTTTTCAGACAGAGTCTCGCTTTGTCACCCAGGCTGGAGTGCAGTGGTGCGATCTTGGCTCACTGCAACCTCAGCCTCCAAGGTTCAAGCGATTCTCCTGATTGAGCTGAGTAGTTGGGATTACAGGCGTGCACCACCATACCCAGCTAATTTTTGTATTTTTAGTAGAGACCAGGTTTCACCATGTTAGCCAGACTGGTCTCAAACTCCTGACCTCAAGTGATCCACCTGCCTCAACCTCCCAAAGTGCTGGGATTACAGGCATGAGCCACCATTCCTGGCCTCCTGAAGTTTCTTAACCCATCCCCCTGAGGAATATTTCAAGCCTCAAGCCAGACCGTGATACCTTTATTTCCAAAGACTCAAAAGCTCAATGCAAACGGGTGGATTACCTGGTGTCTTGTTCCTGTAATCTCAGCTATGACTGTAATCCTAGATTCTCGGGAGGCTGGGGCAGGAGAATCGCTTGAACCCAGGAGGCGGAGGTTGCAGTGAGCCGAGATCACGCCATTGCACTCCAGCCTTGGCAACAAGAGTGAAACTCTGCCTTAAAAAAAACAAAACCAAAGGCTTCTACAGTGGCCTACAGGGCCTTATGGGGGATCCTCGTGTAAGTTATGAGCCATAAATCATTCTACTTTCTCACTAGCTCAGTATTTTATTTACAAGATTCCCTCCCCCAGTTAGCATGCTGGTTCATGATCTACCATCCTTCAGTTTCTTTCCTCATATCACTTTCCAAAAGAGGACTTAAATGACCAGCATAAGTCTAGCCAATCAATGCCTCTCTGTTTGACTTACCTCTACCCTGTTTATTTTAATACCATCATCCATTGTCTTCAATAGAACATATCGAGATGTCTGCTGTCACTAAAAACTCTGAGGACAAGGATTTCTTCTGCTCACTCCCCTCTGCCTTTCCTCACTACTGGAGCCCCAGCAAATATGCTGCTTGTTTTTTTGTTTTGTTTTGTTTGAGACCAAGTCTCACTCTTTCACCCAAGCTGGAATGCAGTGGTGATATGTTGGCTAACTACAACCTCTGCCTCCTGGTTCAGGCGATTCTCCTGCCTCTCGAGTAGCTGGAATTATAGGTGGTTCCACCATACCTGGCTAATTTTTGTATTTTCATTTTATGTTATATATTTGTGAGATGGAGTCTCATTCTATTGCCCAGGCTGGAGTGCAGTGGCGCAATCTGGGCTCACTGTAACCTCCGCCTCCCAGGCTGAAGCGATTCTTGTGCCTCAGCCTCCCAAGTAGCTAGCATTAAAGGCACACACCACCATGCATGGCTAATTTTTTGTAGAGATGGGGTTTTGCCATGTTGGCCTGGCTGGTCTCGAACTCCTGACCTCAGGTGATCTACCCTCCTCGGCCTCCCAAGGTGCTGGGGCTACAGGTGTCTGTCCCCACGCCCTGCCTAATCTTTGTATTTTTAGTAGAGATGGGGTTTGACCGTGTTGGCAAGGCTGGTCTCGAACACCTGGCCTCAAGTGATCCACCCGCCTTGGCCTCCCGAAGTGTTGGGATTACACGCTTGAGCCACTACCTGCTCAGTGAATGCGTGGATTTCCATGTTCTTCCTCAACAGCCTCTGGAGCTGCTCCCTCATGCCTTTCTATTGTCAGCATCTTGGATCTGCTCTCCTCAGCAATCAGAAGCTTGAAACTCTGGACCTGGGCCAGAATCATTTGTGGAAGAGTGGCATAATTAAGCTCTTTGGGGTTCTAAGACAAAGAACTGGATCCTTGAAGATACTCAGGTATGGGTTTTTTGTTTTGTTTTGTTTTGTTTTTTGTTTTTGTTTTTTTGAGATGGAGTCGTGCTCTGTCATTCAGGCTGGAGTGCAGTGGCGCAATCTTGGCTCACCGCAACCTCTGCCTCTCAGGTTCAAGCAATTCTCCTGCCTCAGCCTCATGAGTAGCTGGGCCTAGAGGCATGCCAACATGTCCAGCTAATTTTTTTCTTTTTCTTTTTTTTTTTTTGAGACGGAGTTTTGTTCTTGTAGCCCAGGCTGGAGTGCAGTGGTGCGATCTTGGCTCACTGCAACCCCCACCTCCTGGGTTCAAGCGATTCTCCCACCTTGGCCTCCCAAGTAGCTGGAATTACAGATGCCTGCCACCATGCCTGGCTAATTTTTTAGTAGAGAGGGGTTTCACCATGTTGGCCAGGCTAGTCTTGAACTCCTGACCTCAGGTGAGCCACCTGCCTCGGCCTCCCAAAGTGGTGGGATTACAGAGGTGAGCCATTGCACCCGGCCTTTTTGGTTTTTGCTTTTTGGGATGGAGTCTCACTGTTGCCCAGGCTGGAGTGCAGTGGCGCGATCTTGACTCACTGCAGCCTCCTTCTCACAGGTTGAAGCGATTTTCCTGCCTCAACCTCCTGAGTAGCTGGGATTACAGGTACACACCACCACAGCTGGCTAATTTTTTTTTTTTTTTTTTTTTTTTAAAGACAGAGTCTCTCTCTGTCCCCCAGGCTGGAGTGCAGTGGCGCTATCTCGGCTCAGTGCAACCTCTGCCTCCTGGGTTCAAGTGATTCTCCTGCCTCAGCCTCCTGAGTAGCTAGGATTACAGTCGCTCGCCACCACACCCAGCTAATTTTTGTATTTTTAGTAGAGATGGGGTTTTGCCATGTTGGCCAGGCTGGTCTCGAGCTCCTGACCTCAGGTGATCTTCTCGCCTTGGCCTCCCAAAGTGCTGGGATTACAGGCATGAGCCACTGCACCTGGCCAATTTTTGTAGTTTTTAGTAGAGATGGGGTTTCACCATGTTGGTCAGGTTGGTCTCAAACTCCCAACCTCAGGTGATCCACCTGCCTCAGCCTCTCAAAGTGCCGGGATTACAGGCGTGAGCCACTGTGCTCGGCCCTGGGATGGCTGTTTCACATGGTGAATTTCCCATGCAGAGAAGAGTTTTTTTGGGAGTGTGTGTACTCTTTGTAGGGATCAACTTAAGGCATCTTTCTATAGCACACTCCTAGCTTAGGAGATAATTTAAAAATTAGATACTTTTCTAAAATGCTCTGTGAATTGAATATTGTCCAACTTTCCCCCAAAACACTTAGTCCTAGGCATACTGAGAGTTTAAATCATCCTGGAGTACAGACTGGAAGCTTGTGTGTATGTGTGTGCATGAGCACACACACACACACACACACACCCCTAATCATTATATCCAAAAATAGGTAGTTCCCAGAGCTGTCCTGGGTCTTAGCTTTTCAGAAGATCGTCCTACAGATGCTCCCTTAGTTGTGACCCGTGTATATCTTTTCAATGACTTATTTGTATTTTTTATTTTTTTTTGAGACGGAGTCTTTTTTTTGAGACGGAGTCTGTCTTTTTTTTTGAATCTGTCTTTTTTTTGAGACAGAGACTCCAGTCTCTGTCGCCCAGGCTGGAGTGAAGCGGTGCGATCTCGGCTCACTGCAAGCTCCACCTCCCGGGTTCACGCCATTCTCCTGCCTCAGCCTCCCGAGCAGCTGGGACTACAGGCGCCCGCCACCACGCCCGGCTAATTTTTTGTATTTTTAGTAGAGATGGGGTTTCACTATGTTGGCCAGGCTGGTCTCGAATTCCTGACCTCAGGTGATCTGCCCACCTCGGCCTCCCAAAGTGCTGGGATTACAGGCGTGAGCCACCGCGCCCGGCCTCAGTGACTTATTTTAACGTAATCTACCTTTAGTTTCTTCTTGCCTTTGTCTTTTCTTTTCTGAGACAACGTTTTGCTCTGCTGCACTGTGTGGCCGTGTTGCCGAGGTTCTCAAACTCCTGGCTTCAAACGATCCTCCTGTCTTGGCCTCACAAAGTACCCGGATTGCAGGCGTGAGCCACTGTGCACAGCCCACTTGTCTTATTCAAGAGTTATTTTAGTTGTAGAGATGATACGCATGTAAACTGCTTCATGATGCCCAGTGTTGCATTATTGGAACGCTAAGCATGTGGGAGTTATTTATATCCTGCTCAAGGTACGATTTTTCACACGTCTGCAGTTCAAATAATTGTAACCTCTGGCATAAATGGGTTAAGGTTTTAGGGGTATATCATGAAACTTGAGCTAAATAGTGTCATGCTTCTCTTGTTGGTGGGACCGAGGTCTGTAATGCCACCAAGGACTATTGGTGACAAATCTCTAGCCCCCTGTGGTCTCTTATGTCATATGTTTGGGGCGTATTTCTTTTCTCATTCCTCAGTTCCTCCTTTGGGAGGCCAAGGTGGGAGGATTGTTTGAGGCCAGGAGTTTGAGACCAGCCTGGGCAACATAGCAAGCCAGTGTCTCCACAATCACCACCCCTCATGTTCACATACACAGGCTTGCATGCTGCAGCCACGTTAGAGCCAAGTTTGCTATCATTAACCCTGGGGTTCACTCTGGCATTCTCTTAGTTCTACTGAAGGTTTGATTTGCCACTATTTTTTATTTATTTATTTGGAGGCAGAGTCTCGCTCTGTCACCCGGGCTGCAGTACAGTGGTGCGGTATTGGCTCACTGCAACATCTGCCTCCCAGGTTCAAAGCGATTCTCCTGTCTCAGCCTCCTGAGTAGCTGGTATTACAGTTGTCTGCCACCATGCCCAGCTAATTTTTGTATTTTTAGTAGAGACGGGGTTTCACTATGTTGGCCAGGCTGGTCTCGAATTCCTGACCTCAGGTGATCTGCCCGCCTCGGCCTCCCAAAGTGCTGGAATTATAGGCGTGAGTCACCGTGCACCAGCCTGATTATCTATTTTTTAAATTTATTTTTTAAAGGCATGTTTTACTCTGTTACCAGGCTGGAGTGCAGTAGGGCAATCTCTAGCTCGTTGCAACCTCCGCCTCCTGGGCTCAAGTGATCCTCTTGCCTCCGCCTCCCGAGTAGCTGGGACTATAGGCGTGCACCACCATTCCTGGCTAACTTTTTCTATTTTTGGTAGAGACAGGGTTTCACCGTGTTGCCCAGGCTGGCCTTGAACTGCGGAGCTCAAGCAATCTGCCTGCCTTGGCCTCCCAAAGTGCTGGGACTACAGGTGCGAGACACCGTGCCTGGCCATAATCTTTTTTTTCTTAGACTTATAAGGATCCCCATTGTGTGGGTCTAAATTTCTTTTTAGAAAACTTTTCTGACTGGGTGCTGTGGCTCACATCTGTAATCCCATGGCTTTGGGAGGCCGAGGTGGATGGATCACTTGAGGCCAGAAGTTCGAGACCAGCCTGGCTAACATGTCGAAACCCCATCTCTACTGTAAATACAAAACTTAGCCAAGCGTGGTGGTGCACACCTGTAATCACAGTTACTCAGGAGCCTGAGGCATGAGAATTGCTTGAACTTGGGAGCTGGAGGTTGCAGAGAGCCAAGATGGCACCACTGTACCCCAGCCTGGGCAACAGAGCAAGACCCTGTCCCCCAGAAAATCCCAAAAACGTTTCCTGCTTTGAGTGTTTGAAAACAGATATTCAGGCATCCTGGGTAGTTGAGAATGAATTTCTGGGAACATTTGTGTTCTCTGATCCCTCCAGGTTGAAGACCTATGAAACTAATTTGGAAATCAAGAAGCTGTTGGAGGAAGTGAAAGAAAAGAATCCCAAGCTGACTATTGATTGCAATGCTTCCGGGGCAACGGCACCTCCGTGCTGTGACTTTTTTTGCTGAGCAGCCTGGGATCGCTCTACGAATTACACAGGAAGCGGGATTCGGGTCTCTAAGATGTCTTATGAATGCAGGTCAGAGGGTCACATGTTAACACTAGAGTCTGTCGAGAGGTAGGATTTGACACTGGTTTTCTCACTATTTTTGGGAGATTCTGCACGAGTCACGCACCCCCTTCACATGACGCTATGTACTTTCTCACAGGGATAATAAAGTTAGAGCACTCTCGTTGCAGCTGCGTTTATTGACATGCTCAGGAGCAAACCTGCAATAAACATGGTACTCTGTGCTTTGTCTAGGAGGAAGTATTGCTAAGAAGTTCAGGGATGATTCGGTTGATTCTTCTATTTCTTTTCTTCCCTAACTCAGGCGCCATGTGGTCTACTATCTGCCAGGTGCATCTATGTGATCAGTGTGTCTTTGTGACTTATGTGATCATAACTTATGTGATCAACCCACGCATTGACAAACGGGCCAGATAGTTCATATGCTTGGCACTGTGGGCCCCGCGGTCTCTCATCAGCTCTCAGCTGTGCCTTTGGACATGGAAGCAGCGCAGGGCCTGGCTGGCACCTGCGGAGGCTTCCCAGAAACAGCTCGTGGGCCATGGGCAGCCAGCCCTGTTCTAATCTATCCTGTTACTCACAAAGCACAAGCTTACAGTCACTGTTGCCTTTAATTCAGAAGATGGCCCTGCCTCACGCTGGTTCTGCTCGGCTCCCACGGGCCGCCTCCTACTCTCTGTGTGTGTGTGTATGTGTCTCTCTCTCTCTCTGTCTCTGTGTGTCTCTCTTTGTTTCTCTGTGTCTGTCTTTTTGTCTCTCTGTCTCTGTGTCTGTTTCTGTGTGTGTGTCTCTGTGTCTGTCTGTGTTTCTCTGTGTGTGTCTCTGTCGCTGGGCGTTTCTATCTCTGTCTTTGTATGTGTCTCTCTGTTCTTTCGTTTTTTTTTTTTGTTTTTTTTTTTGAGACGGAGTTTCACTCTTGTCGCCCATGCTGGAGTGCAATGGCGTGATCTCAGCTCACTGCAACCGCGCCTCCCAGGTTCAAGTGATTCTCCTGCCTCAGCCTTCCGAGTAGCCGGAATTACAGCCCTGTGCCACCATGCCTGGCTAATTTTTTGTATTCTTACTAGAGACGGGGTTTCACAATGTTGGCCAGGCTGTTCTCGGACTCCTGACCTCAGGTGATCTACCCGCCTCAGCCTCCCAGAGTGGTGGGATTACAGGCGTGAGCCACCGAGCCCAGCCTGTCTGTCTGTTTCTGTGTGAGTCTGTGTGGCTGTCTCTGGGAGTCTCTGTGTATGTCTCTGTCTCTCTCGCCTCCCCGTTTCTCTCGGCTTCCCATTGCCATGGCAAACACAGCTTTTCCACACCCTGTATTTGGTCATTCATAGAAAATGCATAGAAGTCACTCCGCAATTTTCCTTAAGAATGAAAAGTTGTCACCATGATGTTAGCACTGGCTTCCAGGCGCTGCCAAAAGGGACTGACCCCTCTCCTCACTTGGCTCTCCACGCTTGCGGTAGGTGATGAGACTATTTTAATAAGAGCAGCCAGGCGCTGTGGCTCACACCTGTAATCCCAGCACTTTGGGAGGCCGAGGCGGGCGGATCACCTGAGGTCAGGAGTTCGAGACCAGCCTCAACATGGAGAAACCCCGTCTCTACTAAAAATACAAAATTAGCCGGGTGGGGTGGTGTATGCCTGTAATCCCAGCTACTCGGGAGGCTGAGGCAGGAGAATCGCTTGAACCCGGGAGGCGGAGTTTGCGGTGAGCTGAGATTGTGCCACTGCACTCCAGCCTGGGCAATAAGAGCAAAACTCTTGTCTCGAAAAAAAAAAAATAAGAGCATTGATATGGGGAAAGTTGTCATGGTCCCAGGCACAAAAACACGGGCATATGGCTAATGCTTTAGGTTGAAAGCTTGTATGACAAAGTTTTCTTTTCTTTTTTTTTTTTTTTTTTTTTTTGAGATGGAGTCTTGCCTCTGTCGCCCAGGCTGGAGTGCAGTGGTGCGATCTTGGCTCACTACAACCTCTGCCTCCTGGGTTCAAGTGAGTCTTCTGTCCCAGCCTCCGGAGTAGCTGAGACTAGAGGTGTGCGTCACCATGCCTGGCTAATTTTTGTATTTTTAGTAAAGACGAGGTTTCACCATGTTAGCCAGGCTGGTCTTGAACTCCTGACCTCAGGTGATCTGCCCGCCTTGGCCTCCCAAAGTGCTGGGATGACAGGCGTGAGCCACTGTGCCTGGCCTGACAAAGTTCTTTTTACTAACCCAAACCTGGAGGTTGAGTGGCTTCAGCACTGAATGATCCCATGAAGGCCCTCATTTATCTTGCTGTTGAGCATTGCTGTCTTTCGTGAGCCCTTGTCAAGATAAGTCTTCTCAAATGCTCGAGATCACTGTGGTGTTTAAGGCTACAGTCAGCTGGTAGTAATGCAGGCTGTGGGTGGTAACAGTGTTTAGCGGGATACAGCTCACACCGATGGGAAGGGTGGTAGAGACAGCGTGAATAAAGGAAGTGGTCAGGTGATGAGAGGTAGGGCTGAGTCAACATTTAGGGTTCTACATGCACATGAAGTTCCCGTGTAGAATTTGCTAAAAATAAAGACACAAAGATAGTAGGTAGAGGCTGGGAGTGAAAACATCTGGGTCGGACTCTGCTGCATATTTAATTGAAGTTTTTTTCCCCTAAATATTTTATCTACTTAAAAATTTTGATTTTGTTTAAGATAGTAGTCTTTTTTTTGGTGGGGTGGTGGGGCGGACAGAGTCTCACTTGGTTGCCTAGGCTGGAGTGCAGTGGCGTGATTTCACCATGTTGGCCAGGCTAGTCTCAAACTCCTGACCTCAGGTGAGCCACCCGCCTCGGCCTCCCAAAGTGCTGGCATGACAGGCGTGAGCCACCGTGCCCAGCCAAGATGGTGGTGGTGCTGTGTTGCCCACAGCCGGGTTGGAGTGCAATGGTGCGATCTTAGCTCACTGCAGCCTTAAACTCAAGGAATCCTCCCACCTGAGCCTCCTGAGCTGGGATTACAGGTGCATGCCAAACATGCTTGGCTAATTTTAAAATATTTTATAGAGATGGAGTCTTGCTGTATTGACCAGGCTTGTCTTGAACTGCTGGCCTCCAGTTATCCCCTTGCCTTCGCTTCCCAAAGTGCTGGGATTACACGCGTGAGCTGCCACACTGGGCTCTTACCCACTTACCAGTAATAAACACAGAACTCCTAAAGTGCTGTGATTACGGCGCCTGACCAGCCTTAATTACCTCTGAAAAGCCCTGTGTCCAAATAGAGTCACATCTGGGGTAGGGCTTGTACATGACGTTTGGTGGGACCAATTCAGTCCGTAGCAAGGACTGTCCTGTGTATCACGTGATGTATAGCAGCACCCCTGGACTTGGATGAGCCTGAGCCTGCCCCCACTGCAACTCGTGACAACCAAAAAACCTCTCGGGATGTGGCCAGATACCCCCATGGGGACAAAATCACCCCCAGTTAAGAATGGCTGGCTCAGCCATTCACAATTGCAAAGATGTGGAACCAACCGAAGTGCCCATTGAATAATGAGTGGATTGTGGGCGGCAAGGCACCCAGGCACCGAGGCAAGAGACAGAGGACACGAGCTGTTCCAGTATAATAAAATATAAAACAAGAATTGTTATACCAGATATAGATCTTAGATATGATTATATATGAGTATCATTAATCATTAGCCGGTAGCAATTACTTTTTATTCCAATATTATAATAATCCTCACTCTATAATCATAGCCTAGGAAAAACCAGGCCATACAGAGATAGGAGCTGAGGGGACATAGTGAGGTGTGACCAGAAGACAAGAGTGCGAGCCTTCTGTTATGCCCGGACAGGGCCACCAGAGGGCTCCTTGGTCTAGCGGTGACGCCAGCGTCTGGGAAGACACCCGTCACCAAGCGGATCATGGTCCAGCGGTAGCAAAAGGTGTCAATTAACAACACCCGCTACTTAGCAGACCGGGAAAGGGGCAGCGGGTGGGGGGGGGGGTCTCCCTTTCCCCGGGGGAGTTTAGAGAAGACTCTGCTCCTCCACCTCTTGTGGAGGGCCTGACATCAGTCAGGCTCGCCCGCAGTTATCCGGAGGCCTAACCGTCTCCCTGTGATGCTGTGCTTCGGTGGTCACGCTCCTAGTCCGCCTTCATGTTCCATCCTGTACACCTGGCTCTGCCTTCTAGATAGCAGTAGTAAATTAGGGAAAGTACTAATAGTCCCTGATATGCAGAAATAATGGCGTAAGCTGTCTTTCTCTCTGTCTCCTCTCCCTCTCTGCCTCGGCTGCCAGGCAGGGAAGGGCCCCCTGTCCAGTGGACACGTGACCCACGTGACCTTACCTATCATTGGAGGTGACTCACACTCTTTACCCTGCCCCTTCTGCCTTGTATCCAATAAATAACAGCGCAGCCAGACATTCGGGGCCACTACCGGTCTCCGCGCATTGGTGGTAGTGGTCCCCCGGGCCCAGCTGCCTTTTCTCTTGTCTCTTTGTCTTGTGTCTTTATTTCTACACTCTCTCGTCGCCGCACACAGGGAGAGACCCACCGACCCTGTGGGGCTGGTCCCTACAGTGGATAAAGAAAACGTGGTGTCTATGTACCATGGAATACTATTCAGCCATTAGAAGGAATGAAATAATGTCATTTCCAGCAATTTGGATGGAGCTGGAGGCCATTATTCTAACAGGAGTAGAATCCATATGTTCTCACTTTTTTTTTTTTTTTTTAAGACAGTTTTGCTCTTGTTGCCCAGGCTAGAGTGCAATGGTGTGATCTTGGCTCACCGCAACCTCCGCCTCCTGGGTTCAAGCGATTCTCCAACCTCAGCCTCCCTAGTAGCTGGGATTATAGGCACGTGCCACCACACCCAGCTATGTATTTTTCTATTTTTAGTAGAGATGGGGTTTCACCATGTTGGCCAGACTGGTCTTGAACTCCTGGCCTCAGGCGATACACCTGCCTCAGCACCCCCAAAGTGATGGGATTACAGGCGTGAGCCACCGCCACCGTGCCTGGCTCTGTATGTTCTCAGTGGGAGCTAAGCTGTTGGTACACAAAGGCAGAGTGATGTAATGGGCTTCAGAGTCTCAGAAGGGGGAGGGCAGAAGGGAGGCCACAGATAAAAAACTACACATTAGGCCAGTGTGGTCGCTCACGCCTGTAATCTCATCACTTTGGGAGACCCAGGCGGGCCGATCACTTGAGGCCAGGAGTTCGAGACCATCCTGACCAAGATGGTGAAACCCTGTCTTTACTTACTAAAAGTACAAAAAATTAGCCAGGCATGGTAGTGGGTGTCTGTAATGCCAGCACTTTGGGAGGCCAAGGTGGGAGAATCGCTTGAACCCGGGAGGCGGAGGTTGTTGCAGTGAGCTGAGGCCACGACACTGCACTCCAGCCTGGGTAACAGAGCGAGACTTGGTCTCTAAATAAATAAAATAAAGGGCTCAGACTCTATCTCAAAAAATAAATGAATAAGGCCGGGTGCGGTGGCTTACACCTGTAATCCCAGCACTTTGAGAGGCCGAGGCGGGAGGATCACGAGGTCAGATCGAGACCATCCTGGCTAACATGGTGAAACCCCGTCTCTACTAAAAATACAAAAAATTAGCCGGGCTAGGTGGCGGGCGCCTGTAGTCCCAGGAGAATGGTGTGATCCCGGGAGGCGGAGCTTGCAGTGAGCAGAGATCGCGCCACTGCAGTCCAGCCTGGGCGACAGAGCAAGACTCTGTCTCAAGAAAAATAAATGAATAAAAACAATAAGAAAGAAAAATAGCCACGTCTTACGTAGGCTGAGACTGGAGAGTTTCCGTGGACTCGTAACCCTGCCTTTGTCCCTGCACTGAAGGGTGTAAGGTGGTTGCTTTCTGCATGAGCCAGTGTTTCTCAGCCTTGGTGCTGCTGCCATCTGGGGCTGCCCTGGGCATTGTAGGAAGCTGAGCAGCACCCCTGGACCCTACCTACCAGATGCCAGTAGAACCCCTCCCCAAGTCATGACAATTAAAAATTACCATGGGCATTGCCAAATGTCCCCTGGAGTGGAGAGCAAAATCACCCAGCAGAGAACTGCTAGGCTAGAGAGGTGCAGGATCCTAGGCTGGGTGCGGGGGCCTGTAATCCTCGCACTTTGGGAGGCCAAGGTGGGCGGATCACATGAGGTCGGGAGTTCAAGACCAACCTGGCTAACATGGTAAAACCCCCATCTCCACTAAAAATACAAAAATTAGCCAGGCGTGGCGGCACATGCCTGTAGTCCCAGCTCCTTGGGGGGCTGAGGCAGGAGAATCGCTAGACCCCAGCAGGCAGAGGTTGCAGTGAGCCAAGATGGCACCACTGCATTCCATCCTGGGCGACAGAGCAAGACTGTAGTTTTTTTGTTTTTGTTTTTGTTTTTTTTTGAGGAGTCACAGTCTGTCACTCAGGCTGGAGTGCAGTGGCGCAATCTCGACTCACTGCAACCTCTGCCTCCCGGGTTTGAACGATTCTCCTGCCTCAGCCTCCCGAGTAGCTGGGATTGGCTCTGGTGGTGGAGGTGCCTGCAAACCTGTTGGTACTGTAACCGTCAGAAAACGAGTAGCAAGAAGTGTCCGAGAAAGCCAGAGAAGTGAGTCCTTCGAGGAGGAAGTGGTCAACGTGTCAAATACAACTGTGGGGGAGCAATAATGAGAAGGGCTGAAAAGGGTCACTGCATGTTCCAGGAAGGAAGCTCATTAGTGTTGGTCACACAGACAGCTTCAGAGGAAGTGTGGGGAGAGAAGCCAGTTTCTAGCGGGTGGGGAGCACAGGTGAGAAGTCAGAACAAAGGCCACCAGTGTGGGTTATGTCTTAGGGAGCGTGGGTCTTCTGGCTGGGCGCGGTGGCTCAGTAATCCCAGCGACTCTGGAGGCTGAGGCAGGAGAATCGCTTGAACCCGGAAAGCGGAGGTTGCAGTGATCCGAGATTGCAGCACTGCACTCCAGCCTGGGTGTGCAGAGCGAGACTCAAAAAAAAAAAAAAAAAAAAAAAAATAGAACAGTTGATCTCCTAGAAGTGAGAGTAGGTGGAGGTTATCAGGGGCTGGGGGTGGTAGGAGAGGAAGATGTTGGTCAAAAAGCACAAGTAGCTGGGTGTGGTGGCTCACGTCTGTAATCCCAGCACTTTGGGAGGCCAAGGCGGGTGGATCACCTGAGACCAGGAGTTTGAGACCAACATGGAGAAACCCCGTCTCTACTAAAAATACAAAAATTAGCCGGGCGTGGTGGCACGCACTTGTAGTCCCAGCTACTCGGGAGGCTGAGGCAGGAGAATCGCTTGAACCCGGGAGGCGGAGGTTGCAGAGTCAAGATCGCGCCACTGCACTCCAGCCTGGGTGACAGAGCAGGACTTCGTCTCAAAAAAAAAAAAAAAAAAAAAGCACAATATTCAGTTATAAGATGAGTTAGTTCTGGGGGTCTGATATATGGGATGGCGATTATGGTTAACACAAGCAGCTTTTAAATGTCTTTACCCCTGCTCCCCGTTACCAGCCAAAGCTGTGAAGTTCCAGGCCCTTGGTGTTTCGAACAAAGAATTGGGTGTGATACACACACATAGCAAAGCGGCATAAGTTTATTAAGCATAGGATTACACTCTTGGAGAGGGGAGAGCAGGCGGACCTCTGCGAAATGAGATCGGCATCAGCTCGCTGTACTTTGGGTCTTTTTTTTTTTTTTTCTTATTAGGAATATACAACCATTTATTCACTGTTCACTAGTATTTACAATAAAGTGAACAAAATACAGTTCAATAACATTCAGATTACCACAAAGTTGTGTTTCCTGGCTTTTACTGAACCAGTAAAGCAGATACTGAAAAGACTGAGCCTATGTGGTTTTTTTTTTTTTTTTTTTGAGATGGAGTCTCGCTCTGTCGCCCAGGCTGGAGTGCAGTGGCACGATTTTGGCTCACCGCAACCTCCGCCTCCCAGGTTCAAGCGATTCTCCTGCCTCAGCCTTCTGAGTAGCTAGGATTACAGGTGCCTACATGTAAGGAATGAGTTGGGGTAAAGAAAAAATACGCGAGTCAGCAGTTTATTTATTTTGAGAGGGAGTCTCGCTCTGTTACCAGGCTGGAGTGCAGTGGTGCAATCTCGGCTTACCACAACCTCTGCCTCCCGGGTTCAAGTGATTCTGCTGCCTCAGCCTCCCGAGTAGCTGAGATTACGGGTGCAAGCCACTGCGCCTGGCTAATATTTTGTATTTTTTAGTAGAGATGGGGTTTTACCGTGTTGGCCAGGCTGCTATTTAATGGAAAAATCAGATTTAGAGAATAAATTTGACCGGCATGAGGCACCAGAATAATGGGAGGGCGTGAGGACCCATGCGATGAGTATATAAATGGGTTGATAAGTAGAAGTTCTCAGGGAGGAAAGCGATGGTGGTGTCCAGACAGCATTTCAAGACCCCTAGTGAGAAGTCTCAAGTTGCAGGCTGTGCCACAGCCCCGTATATACATTCACTCATTTGATATATATTTCCCGAGAACCCCGTTATAGTTGCGGGAGCTGTGAATGCAGCCACTAAATCTGACATAGATCAATTCACACGAGTTCACGGTAGAGGCAGGAAAATGGACATGCATGCCGAATCAGGGTTCAAGTGCTGTTACAGGGAATTAACAGGTGCTTTGGGATGAGGAAAGTGTTGTCTTGGCTGGGCGCAGTGGCTCACGCCTGTAATCCTAGCACTTTGAGAGGCCAAGGCGGGGGGATCACCTGAACTCAGGAGTTTGAGACCACCCAGGGCAACATGATGAAACCCTACCTCTACTAAAGATGCAAAAAAAATTAACCGGGTGTGGTGGCGCGCGCCTCTAGTCCCAGCTACTTGGGAGGCTGAGGAAGGAGAATCGCTTGAGCCCCAGAGGCGAAGGTTGCAGTGAGCTGAGATTGTGCCACTGCACGCCAGCTTGGGCTACAGAGTGAGACTGTCTCAAAAAAAAAAAAAAAAGTGCTATCTTTGTGAAGTCGGAGTTGTGGAAACTCTTGGAGGAAATGATATCTCTGCAGAGCCCTGAAGAACAAGGCAAGGTGTGGATAAAGAAGCAAAGATGGTGGCCGGGTACGGTGACTCACACCTGTAATTCCAGCACTTTGGGAGGCCGAGGCTGGTGGATCACCTGAGGTCAGGAGTTCAAGACCAGTCTGGCCAACATTGTGAAACCCCATTTCTACTAAAAATACAAAAATTAGCCGGGCGTGGTGGTGCATGCCTATAATCCCAGCTATTCAGGAGGCTGAGGCAGGAGAATCATTTGAACCCTGGAGGTGGAGGTGGCAGTGAGCCAAGATTGCACCACTGCATTCCAGCCTGGGTGACAAAAGTGAAACTCGGGGGAAGGGATAGCATTAGGAGATATACCTAATGTTAAATGACGAGTTAGTGGGTGCAGCACACCAACATGGCACATGTATACATATGTAACTAACCTGCACGTTGTGCACATGTACCCTAAAACTTACATTAAAAAAAAAAAAAGTGAAATTCTGTCCCAACAAAACAAACAAAAAAAAAGAAAAAAAAAAAAAAGGAAGAGAAGATGGAATAATTCTGTGGTTAGAAGGAATTGGGGTATGGTTGGGATGCAGCCAGGAGTCACTTATTTTTTTTTTTTCTTTTTTTTTTTGAGACAGAATCTTGCTCTGTCACGTAGGCTGGAGTGCAGTGGTGCGATCTTGGCTCCCTGCAGCCTCCGCCTCCCGGGTTCAAGCTATTCTCCTGCCTCAGCCTCCTGAGTAGCTGGGATTACAAGCACACGCCACCATACCTGGCTAATTTTTATATTTTTAGTAGAGATGTGGTTTCACCATGTTGGCCAGGCTGCTCTCGAACTCCTGACCTCAGGTGATCCTCCCACCTTGGCCTCCCAAAGTGCTGGGATTACAGGCATGAGCCACCGTGCCTGGCCGAGTTTTTGTATTTTTAGTAGAGATGGGGTTTCATCATGTTGGCCAGGCTGGTCTCGAACTCCTGACCTCAGGTGATCTGCCCGCCTCAGCCTCCCAAAGTGTTGGGATTACAGGTGTGAGCCACCGTGCCTGGCAGGATTCACTTATAAAGCTGCTTCTCTACAACTGGTTGTTGCCACAATGCCTCCTGAACCATTTGATACAGACCTATTCTATATTGGTTATTAACTATTTTGAATGGCTTCCTGCAGAGAAAGGAAAGAAAAAAAGACCAAAGTAGGAAAAAAATATTTCCATGGCCATCCTGTTAAAGAAGGAGAGATCTTTTCAGAAAAGACCAGAGTGGTTAAAAGTATGGTTTGCAGTAAGTGGTACAAAAATAGTTAGAGCCTAGAAGAGACCATAGGATTTGTCTACAGAAGAAATTCAGTGGCTGGGCGCAGCGGCTTATGCCTGTAATCCCAGCCCTTTGGGAGGCCAAGGCGGGGAGATCACTTGAGGTCAGGAGTTCGAGACCAGCCAACAGGGAGAAACCCCGTCTCCACTAAAAATACAAAATTAGCTGGGGTGGTGGCACATGCCTGTAATCCCAGCTACTCAGGAGGCTGAGGCAGGAGAATCACTTGAACCCGAGGGATGGAGAGCTAGAGGTTGCAGTGAGCCAAGATCGCGCCATTGCACTCCAGCCTGGGCAACAAGAGAAAACTCTGTCTCAAAAAAAAAAAAAAAGAAATTTAGCATGTAGTTCTCCCACCCTCTGCATCGTCCGGGATGCTCTGACAAATGGAATGCCAGTGTCCCTCTTTCCCTGCAGTGACTCCCTCCTCCGTGGGTCCAACACAGAGCTCACGCCGCCCAGGCTCAACACCAGCTTTCAGATCCACCCATGGCCACTGTGTCTCATGGTCATTCTTCAAAGAGTCTGTGTGTTCAGCCTTCTCCTGCCTTCCCAAGTGGAAGCTCTGCTGGCTCGCTCTCTAGTCCTCTTCCTGCTGAGCCAGTCTTCAACCAGGAACCACACTAGAGCCACCAGGACTAGAAAGGCCAGGCCCATCCGAAGGAGATTCTGGGCAGTGTGATCCCAGAGGGCATGGTCTGTAGGCAGGAGAACAGGGTGATCGCTGACAGGGATGTAAGGACACCCTCTTTTTTTTTTTTTTTTTTTTTTTTTTTTTTTTTTTTTTTGAGACAGAGCCTCAGTCTTGTCGCCCAGGCTGGAGTGCAATGGCACGATCTCGGCTCACTGCAACCTCCACTTCCTGGGTTCAAGCTATTCTCCTGTCTCAGCCTCCCAAGTAGCTGGGACTACAGGCACACGCCACCACGCCTGGCTAATTTTTTTGTATTTTTAGTAGAGATGGGATTTCGCCATGTTGGCCAGACTGGTCTTGAACTCCCGACCTCAGATGATCTGCCCGCCTCGGCCTCCCAAAGGGCTGAGATTACAGGTGTGAGCTACTGCGCCTGGCCAAGGACACCCTCTTGTTCCCATTTAGATTCCCTTCCTAGGTCTACTCTATGCCCAGCCCCTTCCTTCAGAGCCTATGGCCCCAGCTGTCTACTTACCTTTCTGGAGTCCCGTCTCTGTGGTTAAAAGGTAGGTGCCCCAAGTGTCTGCTGATGATAAGGGAAGTGAAGAAAAGAGGATGGTTTTGACCTCCTCCACCCCAGCACTCCTTCCCTTGGGTCTACCCCATGACGTTCTGCAGCTTTACAAGGTCCCACCTCACCCTGCGGGTCCCAGGAGCTTCATCCAGCAGGTAAAGTGGAAGGGTCCACAGATGGACGAACCTGACGAGGAATTCCATTCTAGCACTTGTGAGCATGTGTCTTTGCACCAGTCATGTCTTCTATTTTTTTTTTTTTTGAGATAGAGTCTCACTGTGTTCCAGCCTCTGGAGTAGCTGGGACTACAGGCACACACCACATACCCAGGTAATTTTTTTCATATTTTTAGTAGAAACGGGGTTTTGCCATGTTGGCCAGGCTGGTCTTGAACTCCCAACCTCAGATGACCTGCCTGCTTCGGCCTCCCAAAGGGCTGGGATGACAGGCCTCTGAGGCTGGAGTACAGTGGTGTGATCTCAGCTCACTGCAACCTCCGCCTCCCGAGTTCAAGCAATCCTCTTGCTTCAGCCCCGAGTAGCTGTAATTACTGGCGTGCGCCACCACACCCAACTCATGTTTGTATTTTTAGTAGAGATGGGGTTTCACTGTGTTGGCCAGGCTGGTCTTGAACTCCTGACCTCAAGTGATCCAGCCGCCCCTGCCTTCCAAAGTGCTGGGATTACATGCGGGAGCCACCCGGCCCAGCCCGTCTTCTATTTAAGCCTCATTTTCCTCATTAAGTCATCATTACCTCTTTCTCCTCACACATACACACATAGTGAAATTCAAAGTCTCACTATTTTTTTTTCTTTTTCTTTTTCTTTTTTTTTTTTTTTGAGACGGAGTCTCACTCTGTCGCTCAGGCTGGAGTGCAGTGGCGCGATCTCAGCTCACTGCAAGCTCCGTCTCCCGGGTTCACGCCATTCTCCTGCCTCAGCCTCTTGTGTAGCTGGGACTACAGGCGCCCGCCACCACGCCCGGATAATTTTTGTATTTTTTTTTAGTAGAGACAGGGTTTCACCGTGTTAGCCAGGATGGTCTTGATCTCCTGACCTCATGACCCACCTGCCTCGGTTTCCCAAAGTGCTGGGATTACAGGCGTGAGCCACCGCGCCGGGCCTCACTCCTGTAATCCTAGCCGTGCGCCCCAGGCCCATCCCACCGTCATCTTCCAAACATCATTTTCAACCCTCCTGGCCTCATAGTTATTATTGTATTACCCCAGTTATCTTCCTGCCCCAGGGCACAGGCAGATGCCATTTCATTCTCTCCAGAGCCTCCTTTCTCCTGACAGCCACATGATTAACTCAAGTCTGAACGCATTTGCTCAGATGCCTTCTTTCTCTGTGAGGTCCATCTGGACAAACCTATTTAATATTGCTAGCTGCCATTTCAATCACTGTAAGTCTGTTCTACTTTGTCTTTTCCTTCCATAGCATCATTCCCTCCTGTGTGCTATCCTGACGTTGACCGATGGTGTGTCTCCTCCTGCTAGAATCTAAGTGCTGCAGAGTCAAGATATCTGCCTGGCTGACTGTTACAGTGTAGTTCACTGTGTATACTATGCACTTGATGAATATATATATATAATAGTTTTGTTTTTGTTTTTCTGTGAGATGGAGTCTCGCTGTGTCGTGCAGTGGAGTGGAATGCAGTGGCGCGATCTCAGCTCACTGCAACCTCTGCATCCCAGGTTCAACAATTCTCCTGCCTCAGCCTCCTGAGTAGCTGGGATTACAGGCGAGCACCACCAGGCCCGGCTAATTTTTGTATTTTTAGTAGAGATGGGGTTTCACCATGTTGGTCAGGCTGGTCTCGAATTCCTGACCTTGTGATCCAACCACCTTGGCCTCCCGAAGTGTTGGGATTACAGGTGTGAGCCATGATGCCCAGCCTAAGTTTTGTATTTTTAGTAGAGACAGGGTTTCGCCATGTTGGCCAGGCTGGTCTCAAACTCCTGACCTCAAATGATGCACCATCTCGGCCTCCCAAAGTGCTGGGATTACAGGCGTGAGCCACCACGCCTGGCCTCGATGAATATTTTGAATGAATGCCACGTTTTTAGTGTCACTGGGAGGCTCTGATTGCTCGTCTGAGCTTAGAAGGACCAGTTACTCACCAGGAAAGGTGGGGTCTTCAGGTGCAAGGCTGGTGTTCTCAATGTCGCCTGGAAAAGGAGATAAAGAAAAAAAAGTAAGGGTTTTTGGTTTCCTCCGGTCTTGCCATTCTTTTTTTTTTTTTTTTTTTTTTTGAGATGGAGTCTTGCTCTGTCGCCCAGGTTGCAGTGCGGTGGTATGATCTCGGTTCACTACAACCCCCGCCTCCCGGGTTCAAGCGATTCTCCTGCCTCAGCCTCCTGAGTAGCTGGGACTACAGGTGTCCGCCACTGCGTCTGGCTAATTTCTGTATTTTTAGTAGAGACGGGGTTTCACCGTCTTGGCCAGGCTGGTCTCGAACTCCTGACCTTGTGATCCACCCGCCTTACCATTCCTTTCTCTGCTCCCTCCTCCTTCCTGCTTCTGGTGTTCTTCCTCACATGACCAACCAGGCACCCAGGAAGTGGACGTCCCTTGGACACCCTCCCCATCACTCTCTGGGGATCCCTCAGGGCTCCAGGTAGGACATGGCGGCGAAGGGTGTGGGGAATTGAGCATTTCCTCACCTGTGACCAGGAGCTTCACTGGCTCACTGGGGAAAGACCAGGCATGGTTGTTATAGGAGCCAAAACATCGGTATGTCCCTCGGTGGGCTGTGGTCACAGGGCCCAGGGGGAACTCCGCCTGGACCTTCCCGTATCCGCGCTGTACGTGGCTGGATCTTCCCTCCTTGAGCAGTAAGAACATGCTTGTTGCAGTGTCTAGACGGCAGTAGAAGGTCACCTTCTCTCCCGAGATCACTTCGGGTCCAGGATGAACCGAGAGGGTGGGTGTGTCATACATTTCTATGAGAGAAGGTGGGGCCACCACACCAGAAACTCAGTGATGAGCAGCCAGCTATTTTTTTTTTTCTTTCTTTAGAGATGGAGTCTCTCTCTGTCGCCCAGGCTGGAGTGCAGTGACACGATCTTGGCTCACTGCAACCTCTGCCTCCCGGGTTCAAGCGTTTCTCCTGCCTCACCCTCCCAAGTAGCTGGGACTACAGGGGCCTGCCACCATGCCTGGCAGCCAGCTTTTTTTTTTTTTTTAATTATTATTTTGGTCAAATACACACAATAGAAGATTTACCGTCTAAAACCATTTTTAAAAATGATACAGGGTCTTGCTCTGTTTCCCAGGCTGGAGCGCCGTGGCACTATCTTTGCTTACTGAAGACTCGACCTCCTGGGTCAGGAGTTTGAGACCAGCCTGGTCAACATGGTGAAACCCCGTCTCTACTAAAAATGCAAAAATTAGCCGGGTGTGGTGGCACATGCCTGTAATCTCAACTACTTGGGAGGCTGAGGCAGGAGAATTGAGGCTGAGGCAGAGGTTGCAGTGAGCTGAGATTGTACCACTGCACTGCAGCGAGACTGTCTCAAAAAAAAAAAAAAAAAGCCCCGGCCAGCCGCCCCGTCCGGGAGGTTGGGGGGCAGCCCCCGCCCGGCCACTGCCCCGTCTGGGAGGTGGGGGGGCGCCTCTGCCCGGCCGCCCCGTCTGGGAAGTGAGGAGCCCCTCTGCCCGGCCGCCACCCCGTCTGGGAGGTGTACCCAACAGCTCATTGAGAATGGGCCATGATGACGATGGCGGTTTTGTCGAATAGAAAAAGGGGAAATGTGGGGAAAAGAAAGAGAGATCAGATTGTTACTGTGTCTGTGTAGAAAGAAGTAGACATAGGAGACTCCATTTTGTTCTGTACTAAGACAAATTCTTCTGCCTTGGGATGCTGTTAATCTATGACCTTACCCCCAACCCCGTGCTCTCTGAAACATGTGCTATGTCCACTCAGGGTTAAATGGATTAAGGGCGGTGCAAGATGTGCTTTGTTAAACAGATGCTTGAAGGCAGCATGCTCCTTAAGAGTCATCACCACTCCCTAATCTCAAGTACCCAGGGACACAAACACTGCGGAAGGCCGCAGGGACCTCTGCCTAGGAAAGCCAGAGACCTTTGTTCACATGTTTATCTGCTGACCTTCTCTCCACTATTGTCCTATGACCCTGCCAAATCCCCCTCTCCGAGAAACACCCAAGAATGATCAATAAATACTAAAAAAATTAAAAAAAAAAGAATAAATGAGTAGCTGTGTTCCCCTGCCAGAACCTCCAAACAAGGTCCAAAGACCCTGAGCAAATGAAAAGGCACAGACAAAAAATATATATATTTCAACACAAGTATATGACACAGAATATAGAAATAACTTTTCCTAATCAATCAAAATATAAGCAACCCAATTTAAAAATAGGCAAAAGATTTAAATAGACATTTCACAAAAGAAGATATTTGAATGGACATGAAATACTGTTGTGAGCTGCATAATGACATTTTGGCCAACAATGTACCACATATATGATGGTGGTCCCATAAGATTATAATGAAACTGAAAAATTCCTATTGCCTGATGACATCATAGCCTTCCTAGCACAAAGTATTGCTCATGTGTTTTTGGTGTTGCTGGTATAAACAAACCTAATTGTATAGCACATACAATTATGTATGTATATGTAACTATGTATAATACTTGATAATAATAATAAACAACCATATTGTTAAAAAAAAAAAAAGCTAATTTTTTTTTTTTTTTTTAGAAAACCACCACCTGGCTGGGTGTGATGGCTCACACCTGTAATCCCAGCACTTTGGGAGGGTGAGGCGGGCGGATCATCTGAGGTCAGGAGTTCGACACCACCCTGGCCAACATGGTGAAACCCCATCTCTACTAAAAATACAAAATGTGGCGTAGTGGTGGGTGCCTGTGATCCCAGCTACTTGGGAAGCTGAGGCTGGAGAATCACTTGAACCCAGGAGGTGGAGGTTGCAGTGACTGGAGATTGCACCACTGCACTCCAGCCTGGGTGACAAGAGCGAAACTCCGTCTCAAAACAGATAAAAAAAAAAAAAACCCACCACCTGTGATGGGTGAGGGAAGCAAAGTGTAAGCCACTGCGCCTAGCCCACAGGCATTGTTTTTGAGGACATTCCTCAGTCATACCCCTGCATACAAATATCTATCTCAGAATCTGTGTCATGGAGAAACTGACTGAGGACACATCTGCTCCTAGGACGTAGAGACACGGTCTGCAGACAACCCCTTGTAGGCAAGGATTGTGATGGGGATCACCCCTCCTTCCAGCCTCCTACCGAGACAAGCAGTGTCTGAGTGGGGCTTGGAAGAGTTCATAGATGATGCTGCATCCCGGATGCAGACTGAGATCACTCTCCAGTTAGAGAACCGGACAGTTACCTGTTACCACCAGATCCAGCAAGTTGCTGGGCTCTGACCAGAGCTCCCCAACCCGATAGATGCAGCTGTATTGCCCTGCCATGCGGGAGTTCATGTCCGGGATGTAGAATTTGACTTTGTTAATCCGCTCAGGGGGTTTTGGTCTGTCCACGGCAAAAAGGCTTCCTTCAAAGTGCAGCTGGTATTCAACAGCCCCATAATTTCCCTGGCAACAGATGGTCACTTGCTTTTCCTTTGGAACCATGAAATGGGGCTCGGCCCAGATGAACGGTTTTGGGAGAGTCTCTGGAAGGGAATCAGAGGCTGGAGTTCCAGCGGAGCCCCCTCCCCCCAACCTTAGGCTCCACCCAGCTGCTGGCCCCAAGCTCTCCTGGGAAGCCAGCACCCTGTCCCCTCTCCCCAGCCGTGCTTGGGTGGAAGGAGCTTGGCCTGAACCCGGAAGAGTGACCCTGGGCTTTGAAGGAAGGACTCACGCTGCTGGGCGCTGATCCTCTGACTCAGACACAGCCCTGGAAGACGGGAGTAATGAGACCTGTTGCCTCCCAGGCACACCGTGATCCCATTCCCCTTCCACGCCAGAACTCACCGACGCAGAGCAGGGCAGGGAGTGTGGAAGACATCGCTCAGATTCTGCCGGCCTAGTGCTGAGCAGTGGGGACTGAGCCGGGCGGGCCAGGGAGATAGATACACAGGAAGTGGTGGGTGAGCACCAGCGCCCATCACCAGAGCGCTTTCACGTTGACTGCTTTCATCAGAACGTTCACAACTCCCCTCCGCCTCTGACCATGAGCTTACAGAAAGGCCGTGGTCCCTCTGACACATCTGTGGTCTAGCCAGCAACTCTGACAATTGTCTGCTCAGCCCAAAATGCATTTCTGGGTCAACTTCTCAATTCTGCAATGTGGAGGTCGTACCCAGAGCTGACTGTGGGAAGTTGTGCCCAATCATGCCCAGAGGAAACCCCCTGAGAATCGTATAAAAACATAGGGAGTTTCACAGTGAGATACTGGAACAGGAATTAAAAGAAATTACAGAATGTGTAAACAAAAACTCAGTTGTATTTAAGAAAACCCAGTTCCCCCCGAGGAAGAGAAAGAGGTGGAGTCCTTTAAACATGAACTGCCTGTTTTTCTGTCTGTGGCTAGTGAGCCTTATCTCTCCCTTTCCCAGGCATTGTGAAGACCCTGTTTCTCTTGCCGTGCGGCTGCAAGATCACTAGACAGGATAACCTCAAGTCGTAAAACATATTTTTCTTGAAAAGTAAGGAATAATGTGATGCATGTCTCAATTGAATAACTGCCTTTGTTTCTTGCTTCTGTAATATGCTTCCCCCTGCACAGATCTCCCCCAACCCCACAAAATGCTTAAAAGGTAACCGGACTCTCTGTTCGAGCCTCAGTCTTTTTGGATGTTAATCTGACTGGGGCCGGTGCACCTAAATAATAATAATAATAATAAATCCTCCTCAACCCCTCGGTCTCTCTGATTCCTAAATTATCCCTCAACAATACCATCTCACACCAGTCAGAATGGCCATTACTGAAAAGCCAGAAATTAACAGATGCTGGTGAGATTGTGGAGCAAAGGGGACACTTATACACTGTTGGTGGGTGTAAATTAGTTCAGCCACTGTGGAAAGCAGTTTGGTTTGGAGATATTTCAGAGAACTACAAACAGAGTTACCATTCAGCCCAGCAATCCCATCGCTGGGTATATAGCCAAAGGAAAATAAATCATTCTACCAAAAAGACACATGCACTTGTATGTTCATTGCAGCAGGATTCACAATAGTGAAGACATGGAATCCACCCAGGTCCCATCAGAGGTGGACTGGATAAAGACAATGTGATATGTATACACCACAGAACGCTATACAGCCTTGAAAAATCACAAGATTATGTCCTTTGCAGCAACATGGATGCAGCTAGAGGCCATTATCCTAAGCGAGTTAACACAGAAACAGAAAACCAAATACTGGCCAGACACGGTGGCTCACGCCTGTCATCCCAGCACTTTGGGAGGCTGAGGCAGGTGGATCACCTTAGGTCGGGAGTTCGAGACCAGCCTGACCAACATGCAGAAACCCTGTCTCTACTAAAAATTCAAAATTAGCCGGGTGTGGTGGCACATGCCTGTAGTCCCAACTACTCGGGAGGCTGAGGCAGGAGAATTGCTTGAACCTGGAAGGTGAAGGTTGCAGTGAGCCGAGATGGTGCCATTGTACTCCAGCCTGGGCAACAAGAGTGAAACTCCATCTCAAAAAAAAAAAAAAAAAAGAAAAGAAAACCAAATACCACATGTTCTCACTTATAAGTGAGAGCGCTAAACATTGGGTAAGGAGGGGAGCAAGGCTTGAAAATCTACCTATTTGGTGACTAGATCATTAATGCAAGCCTCAGCATCATGCAATATACTCATAAAAAACCTGCACATGTATCTGCTGAATCTAAAAAGATAAAAATAGGGGTTTTGACGTTGGCTTCTCTGTGTACAGTATACATATGCTTGGATAAGTTAATTGGTTTCATCAGAATGGAATGATAACACTAACTTCTTCAAAGATAGTGTTATAATGTTTCAATAAAATAAAAGTGAAAAGAAAAGCTTTTCATTTAAAGAACTTAATAAGAAAAGAAACATTTCTTTTCTTTTTCTTTTTCTTTCTTTTTTTTTTTTTTTTGAGACAGAGTCTTGCTCTGTTGCCCAGGCTGTGGTGCAGTGGTGTGATCTCAGCTCACTGCAACCTCTGCCTTGTGGGTTCAAGCAATTCTCCTGCCTCAGCCACCTGAGTAGCTGGGACTACAGACACCCAACACCACGCCCAGCTCATTTTTGTACTTTTAGTAGAGACCGGTTTTTACCACGTTGGCCAGGATGGTCTCCAACTCCTCACCTCAAGTGAATCTTCCTGCCTCGGCCTCTCAAAGTGCTGGGATTACAGGTGTGAGCCACCACACCCAGCCAAGAAACATTTCTTTTAAGTAAGTAACTAACTCTCCACTTAATAAAAAAAAATTCTATGCAGAAGTTGTTAAGATCTACAGTAAGAAAAAAGAAATTCATGCATTTTATATATACACACATATATACATATATACCTTTTATATATATACACATATATACATTTATACATATATGTATACATATATACATATATGTGTATATATACTGCATAGTACCGTACATGTATATATACACATGCATATATACACATACATGTATATGCGTATATATACACATATATGTATATATACACACATGCATACATGCATATATATGTATACACACATGTATGCGTGTATACATACATATATGTATATACATACATGTATGCGTGTATACATACATATATGTATATACATACATATATGCGTGTATACATACATGTATGCGTGTATACATACATATACATATATGTATATACATACATGTATATATACATGTATGTATATATGCATATATGTATATACATACATGCATATATACATGTATGTATACATATACGTATATGTGTATATATGTATATACATATATATATACATGTAAGGTACTATGTAGTTTTCAGCATCCACTGGGGCCTTGGAATATATCCTGGTGGATACATGTGACTACTGTACAAGACTAGTTGTATCTTCTTGAGGCAAACAAATGTGCTAATTCTTTTTTTTTTCTCTTTAAGACGGAATCTCACTCTGTCCCTCAAGCTGGGGTGCAGTGGTGCAATCTCAGCTCACTGCAACCTTCACCTCCTGGGTTCAAGCAATTCTCCTGTTCTAGCCTCCCAAGTAGCTGGGATTACAGGCGTGTGCCACCACACTCGACTAATTTTTGTATTTTTAGTAGAGACAGGGTTTCCCCATGTTGGCCAGGCTAGTCTCGAACTCTTGACCTCAAGTGATCAGCCCACTTTAGCCTCCCAAAGTGCTGGGATTACAGGCGTGAGCCACCACACCCAGCCCGCCTCCTTCTTATTTACTGAAGATTCAGTACTCGGTGCTGGCGTTTCCCCTTACACAGCTGTCATAACTCTGGGTGTTTTCTTTATCCTTCCCCCTACGGAGCGCTTGGATGCCCTCTATGGAGGAGACTTATGTAGGCTGGATCCTCAGACCTCAGCCACCCTCTCAGCCATAACATAGTTACCTTCACCAAAGAAATATAAGAATATTGTCTTTTATTATTTTGAGCTTTTAATTTTGACATAATTCCAGACTTGCAAAAATAGTTTAAAGAATTTCTGGCCAGGTGCAGTGGCTCACACCTGTAATCCCAGCACTTTGGGAGGCCGAGGTGGGTGGATTGCTTGAGACGAGCCTGGGGGAAAAAAAAATGCAAAAATTAGCCAGGTGTGGTGCTGTGCGCCTATAGTCCCAGCTACTTGGGAGGCTGAGGTGAGAGGGTCATCTGAGCCCAGGGAGGTAGAAGCTGCAGTGAGCCATGATCGTGCCACTGCACTCTAGCCTGGGTGACAGAGTGTTACCCTGTCTATAAAAAAAAAAAAAATCTGTAATTTCTTCATCCAGATTTCCCCAAAGTTAGCATTTTACCACATTTGCTTCATCATTCAGCCTCTCTCCCTCTCCCTCTCTCCCCGAAGAAAGTGTGTCTAATTTGCATATGATGCCCTAAACCTCTAATCACTTCAGGTTATATTTCCCAAAACCAAGGACATTCTGTTATTAATGTTCAAGGTCAAGAAATAGCACTGATATGACACTATTGTCTGATCTATCCACTTTATTCAAATTTCACCACTTGTTTTACCAGTGACATATATTTGGTTTAGGATTTAATCCAAGATTACACAATTTATTTAATTGTCATGTCTCTCTTATTTGGAGATGGAATCTTGCTCTGTAGCCCAGGCTGGAGTGCAATGGTGTGATCTCAGCTCACTGCAACCTCCGCCTCCTGGGTTCAAGCAATTCTCCTGCCTCAGCTTCCTGAGTAGCTGGGATTAGAGGCACCCACAACCACGCCCAGCTAATTTTTGTATTTCTAGTAGAGATGGGGTTTCGTCAAGTTGGCCAGGCTGGTTTCGAACTCCTGAACTCAACTGATCCACCTGCCTCAGCCTCCCAAAGTGCTGGGATTAGAGGCATGAGCCACCACGCCCAGCCTCCTTTAAAAAATAAAACTATAGACTTTATTCTGATTTCACCAGTTTTTCCACTAGCATCCTTTCTTCGCTCCAGGAGCTCCAGTGATCCGCCTGCCTCAGCCTCCCACCTGCCTCGGCCTCCCAAGGTATTGGGATTACAGGTGTGAGCCATCTGGATCTATTTAATTCAGCCTTAAGCCCACACCAGCATTCCTGGGACTGTCCCCCCTCTACAGACTCTAAGCCATGTTTGAGATGATGAATTTCAAGTCGTGATTCAATCACTTAAGTGGTAAGTGACACAGAGGATATTACTAATCTTTTTTTTTTTTTTTTTGAGATGGACTCTTGCTCTGTCACCCATGCTGGAGTGCAGTGGCGCAATCTCGGCTCGCTGCAAGCTCTGCCTCCGGGGTTTATGCCATTCTCTTGCCTCAGCCTCCTGAGTGGCGCAATCTCGACTCACTGCAAGCTCTGCCTCCCGAGTTTATGCCATTCTCCTGCCTCAGCCTCCTGAGTAGCTAGGACTACAGGTGCCCACCACCACGTCCGGGTAATCTTTTTTTTTTTTTTTTTTTTTTCAAAGTAGAGATGGGGTTTCACCATGTTAGCCAGGATGGTCTCCATCTCCTGACCTCGTGATCCGCCCTTCTCGGCCTCCCAAAGTGCTGGGATTACAGGCGTGAGCCACCGCACCCGGCCTTTTTTTGGTATTTAAAAATATAACTTTATTGAGATATAATTTACATGCCATACAATTACCCATTAAAAGTGCATAATTCAATGGTTTAAATTTTGTGGTATTCACGGAGTTGGTGCAACCGTCAACACAGTCTAATTTTAGAATGTTGTCATCACTGCCCTTCAGAACCCCATGCCGACCAGCTGCCCATCACCACGATCCCCTCACTCTCCCGGCCCTAGGCAACCACTCATCTTCTGTCTCTAAACACCAGAAGGTACTTTTCAAAAATTGTGGCAAAATACACATAACATACATTTTAATATTTAAGAAGTTTTCTAAGGCCAGGTGCAGTGGGTCATGCCTGTAATCCCAGCACTTTGGGAGGCCGAGGTGTGCGGATCACCAGGTCAGGTGATCCAGACTGTCAGGCCTCTGAGCCCAAGCTAAGCCATCATATCCCCCTGTGGCCTGTATGTACACATCCAGATGGCCGGTTCCTGCCTTAACTGATGACATTCCACCACGAAAGAAATGAAAATGGCCTGTTCTTGCCTTAAGTGATGACATTATCTTATGAAATTCCTTCTCCTGGCTCATCCCGGCTCAAAAGCTCCCCTACTGAGCACCTTGTGAACCCCACTCCTGCCCGCCAGAGAACAACCCCCTTTTGACTGTAATTTTCCTTTACCTACCCAAATCCTATAAAACGGCCGCACTCCTATCTCCCTTTGCTGACTCTCTTTCTGGACTCAGCCCGCCTGCACCCAGGTGAAATAAACAGCCTTGTTGCTCACACAAATCCTGTTTGGTGGTCTCTTCACACGGACGTGAGTGAAATTTGGTGCCATAACTCGAATCAGGGGATCTTCCTTAGGAGATCAATCCCCTGTCCTCCTGCTCTTTGCTCCATGAGAAAGATCCACCTACGACCTCTCGTCCTCAGACCAACCAGCCCAAGGAACATCTCACCAATTTTAAATCCAGTAAGCAGCCTCTTTTTACTCTCTTCTCCAACCTCTCTCACTATCCCTCAACCACTTTCTCCTTTCCACTCTTCAATCTCTCCCTTCTCTTAATTTCAGTTCCTTTCCTTTTCTGGTAGAGACAGGAGACGCGCTTTATTCGTGGACCCAAAACTCCAGCGCCGGTCATGGACTCGGGAAGGCAGCCTTCCCTTGGTGTTTAATCACGCAGGGACACCTCTCTGATTATTCACCCACGTTTCAGAGGTGTCTGACCACATGGGGATGCCTGCCTTGGTCCTTCACCCTTAGTGGCAAGTACTGCTTTTCTGGGGGGGCAAGAACCCCCAACTCCTTCTCTGTGTCTCTACCCCTTCTCTGCTTTTCTGGGGGGGCAAGAACCCCCCAACCCCTTCTCCTTCACCCTTAGTGGCAAGTACCGCTTTTCTAGGGGGCAAGAATCCCCCGATCCCTTATTTCTGTGCCCTGACGTCTTATCTCTGCACCCCGATCCCTTATTTCCACACCCCGACCTCTTGTCTCTGCACCCCAATCCCTTACTTCTGTGCCCTGACCCCTTTCCCGCTTTTCTGGAAGGTAAGAACCCCTGAACCCCTTCCCTCCATGTCTCTACTCTCTCTTTTCTCTGTGCTTGCCTCCTTCAGTATGGGCAACCTTCCACCCTCCATTCCTCCTTCTTCTCCCTTAGCCTGTGTTCTTAAAAACCTAAAACCTCTTCAACTCACACCTGACCTAAAACCTAAATGCCTTATTTTCTTCTGCAATGCTGCTTGACCCCAATACAAACTTGACAGTGGTTCCAAATAGCCAGAAAACGGCACTTTCAATTTTTCCATCCTACAAGATCTAAATAATTCTTGTTGTAAAATGGGCAAATGGTCTGAGGTGCCTGACATCCAGGCATTCTTTTACACATCGGTCCCTCCCTAGTCTCTATGCCCAGTGCAACTCGTCCCAAATCTTCCTTCTTTCCCTCCCGCCTGTCCCGTCAGTCCCAACCCCAAGCATCGCTGAGTCTTTCTAATCTTCCTTTTCTACAGACCCATCTGACATCTCCCCTCCTCGCCAGGCCGAGCTGGGTCCCAATTCTTCCTCAGCCTCCGCTCCTCCACCCTATAATCCTTTTATCACCTCCCCTCCTCACACCCGGTCCAGCTTACAGTTCCATTCCATGACTAGCCCTCCCCCAACTGCCCAGCAATTTCCTCTTAAAAAGGTGGCTGAAGCTAAAGGCATAGTCAAGGTTAATGCTCCTTTTTCTTTATCTGACCTCTCCCAAATCAGATAGTGTTTAGGCTCTTTTTCATCAAATTTAAAAACACAGCCCAGTTCATGGCTCATTTGGCAGCAACCCTGAGACGCTTTACAGCCCTAGACCCTAAGTCAAAAGGCCGTCTTATTCTCAATATACATTTTATTACCAAATCTGCTCCCAACATTAAATAAAGCTCCAAAAATTAAATTCTGTCCCTCAAACCCCACAACAAGACTTAATTAACCTCGCCTTCAAGGTGTACAGTAATAGAGTAGAGGCAGCCAAATAGCAACATATTTCTGAGTTGCAATTCCTTGCCTCCACTCCAGTATCCAGATGAGACAAACCCCAGCCACATCTCCAGCACACGAGAACTCCAAACGCCTGAACCGCAGCTGCCAGGGGTTCCTCCAGAACCTCTTCCCCCAGGAGCTTGCTACAAGTACTGGAAATCTGGCCACTGGGCCAAGGAATGTCCACAGCCTGGGATTCCTCCTAAGCCGCATCCCATCTGTGCGGGACCCCACTGAAAATCGGACTGTTCAACTCACCTGGCAGCCACTCCCAGAGCAGCTAGAACTCTGGCCCAAGGCTCTCTGACTCCTTCCCAGATCTTCTCGGCTTAGCAGCTGAAGACTGACACTGCCCGATCCCGATCGCCTCAGAAGCCTACAGGACCATCACAGTCTAGGTAACTCTCACAGTGGAAGGTAAGCCCGTCCCCTTCTTAATCAATATGGAGGCTACCCACTCCACATTACCTTCTTTTCAAGGGCCTGTTTCCCTTGCCTCCATAACTGTTGTAGGTATTGACAGCTAGGCTTCTAAACCTCTTAAAACTCCCCAACTCTGGTGCCAACTTAGACAATACTCTTTCAAGCACTCCTTTTCAGTTATCCCCACCTGCCCAGTTCCCTTATTAGGCTGAGACACTTTAACTAAATTATCTGCTTCCCTGACTGTTCCTGGACTACAGCTATATCTCATTGCTGCCATTCTTCCCAATCCAAAGCCTCCTTTGCTTCCTCCTCTTGCATCCCCCCACCTTAACCCACAAGTATAGGATACCTCTACTCCCTCCTTGGTGACCGATCATGCACCCCTTACCATCTCATTAAAACCTAATCACCCTTACCCCACTCAACGCCAATATCCCATTCCGCAGCACGCTTTAAAAGGATTAAAGCCTGCTACAGCATGGCCTTTTAAAGCCTATAAACTCCCCTTACAATTCTCCCATTTTACCTGTCCTAAAACCAGACAAGGCTTACACATTAGTTCAGGATCTGCGCCTTATCAACCAAATTGTTTTGCCTATCCACCCCGTAGTGCCAAACCCATATACTCTCCTATCCTCAATACCTGCCTCTACAACCCATTATTCTGTTCTGGATCTCAAACGTGCTTTCTTTACTATTCCTTTGCACCCTTCATCCCAGCCTCTCTTCGCTTTCACTTGGACTGACCCTGACACCGATCAAGCTCAGCAAATTACCTGGGCTGTACTGCCGCAAAGCTT